>NC_000010.11:8343333-8494848 GCF_000001405.40 Homo sapiens
GGATTAGGCAGAGGGAGAAGTTGGGCAGCCATATCTTCACAACAAAAGCCTCAGCCAAACCCATTGGGAGCCATGAGCCTGAAGTGATCCTTCAGAGTTGGAGCAAGGGGCTGGGACCTTCCTGCATCAAGCAGTCATTGGCTGCAGGCTGCCCTTTCCAAGGAAGGAGTGAGACTTTGTGTCAGGAGCTGCTGTTTAGTTGAGTGTTCTTCCTGAAGAGAAGGCTGACAACAGGACTCTCAGCAGCTGGGAAGTAAGTTTTTCCATCCTGAAGGGGCCATCTGCATGGTGCACACTGAGGCTACCCTGGAAGTGTTCTGGGATAAATCCATCGGGAAAGTGACATCTAAGCTTAAATCTCAACTTTGAGCAGGAATTTTCACCTTGCAAAAGGTGGGGGTCGGAATGGACTGTGAATGTTCTAGGAAGAGAGAATAATACATTCACATCACTAAAAATGAAAGAGAATATAGGAAGATTGGAAACAGAAATTCCACACCATTGACCAGTATGGCTTTCCATGAGGGTTCTTTCTCACCTTGATCAGATTCGGATGGAGGGAGACAGGGAAGCTGGCGACGGGTGTGACTCTCGTTAATTTGCAATTGCAGAATACCTACATTTCAGAGAGCTCTAGGTCATAATTAAAATGATCTTACATTTTAAAAACTAAGTATTCACTCTATAGGTACAATTTAACTAAGCCTGCTGTCTGGAGCAGCTTTTACAAGATCTATATTAGAAATGTGATATCTTATTCTCACATAGTTTGAGTTAATTATCTCGAGCCAGTGGTTCTTCATCCAAATCATGATTTCTCTATTCCCTGGAATTCTCCATTCTGCTTAGAAACCTATCTGCTACTTACCAAGCAACCTTGATTGACTGGTGCACATGTGAGTGGAATAGTCAAATCCTCCACCCAAGAGAAAACAGCCATTCTATGATTTTTAAAACACAAACTTAGGACATATTTGAACAATTAGGCAGGGTAAATGGTAAAGTGATTGGGCTTACAGTTCAAAACAACTAAATGTTGTTCAGTAACCTAAAACAGATGAGTGATTTGCCTTTGCAGCAGACGTGCTTTGCAAAATGTGTTTGTTGTAAATGTCCAGGAAGGATCTTTGTACATATTTTAAATCCTACATTTAAATTCTATAGTCCCTTTACAGTTCAAGTGCTGTATTAGTCCGTTTTGACACTGCTATAAGGAAATACTTGAGACTGGGTAATTTATAAAGGAAAGAGGTTTAATTGACTCACAGTTCTGCATGGCTAGGGAGGCCTCAAGAAACTTACAGTCGTGGTGGAAGGGGAAGAAGCACATCTTACAAGGTGGCAGGCAAGAGAAATATATCACTTATCAGATTCCTTGAGCTGATAAATTGTGAATCTTTGTCTAAACTTCTGGCCATCACCTTTTTTTTTTTTTTAATCATTGCATTGACTTTGTTGTATTCTATTTTATTGTACTGTAATGTATTGCAGTTTATGATATTCAATTTACATCAAGATTGAAATTTAGAAATCATATATGTATTAGAATGTTTTATGAACAAAATATTTAATACTGTGTAATAAATATACAAGTAGCTATATTTTTTAAAAATGCTGATTACGTGCTATTTGTTTGTAGAGTAACATAAATGCAAGTATGAAGACAAAAACAAACATCCTCTAACCATTCACTCACCTCAAGACTAGAACATTAGAAATTTGAGCTGGCCTGTATGCCTCTACCTGATCTAATTGTTTCTCTAACAACAATAGCAATAGCAATCTTGTATCATTTGTATTATACAAGTTGGTTTTATGGTATTTCTTTTAAAGGCAGACATTTTGTAGACACAGTTATGAATACTCAAGGTACTAACTGTTTTCCAAAGTCACATAAATTGTTAGAGCCAAAATAAAAAAATAATCACATACATAGAGCCAGATTTCTGACTCCCACTTTGTTTATTTATTTTTAATAACCAATACTGGTGTCTTTCATTTTCTCTCTCTCTCTCTCTTTTTTTTTTTTTTTTTTTTTTTTTTTGAGATGGAGTATCACTCTGTGGTCCAGGCTGGATTGCAGTGGTGTGATCTCAGCTGACTGCAACCTCCACCTCCGAGGTTCAAGTGATTATCCTGCCTCAGCCTCCTGAGTAGCTGGGACTACAGCATGCACTACCACGCCCAGCTAATTTTTGTATTTTTAGTAAAGAAAGGGTTTCACTATGTTGGCCAGGCTGGTCTCAAACCCCTGGCCTCAAGCCATCTACCTGCCTTGGCCTCCCAAAGTGCTGGGATTACAGGCATGAATGAGCCACTATGCCCGGCCCGATGCTGACGTCTTTTCATAAACTGAAATATAGTTTTGGGGGCCGAAAAAGAAGAGCTCTCATAGTCTCTGAATATGACAAAACTAGAATAATTGTTTCAAAAGACTCCCAGAGAAAAATATGTCAAAAGTTCCTTCAGGAAGTTATTTCAGGACCTAATAATTCTTCCATAAATACTTCCTTTACTCCATTTAGTTTCTTCCTGCTGAAGTTTATGCTCATTTCCTCTAATTTCCTTCTGTCCAAAATGAGGAGCGTTCGCCATTCTCTACTTTACATTTCCTTCTTTTTGTGATAATCACTTCTGAGCTTACTCAGTGTCACTTCATGCACACTGATTCCATGAAAAAAGTGTGGTCCTATTATACTATATGCCTTAATGATTTCTTCTTCAGGCTGAAGATGTACTCTGTTTAGCTGCCACTGAAGATAATATTATTTAAACTTATGAGCTATCTTTATTATTTTTTCCTGGTTATTTGCTAGTATTTTTACATTTCTTGTAAGTTAAGAAAAAGAAATCCTTTTAGGTTACTGAGAAATCAACACCTTCTTGGCCATAGCTTTTCTTATTCCAAGCCTGGAAAAAACCTCCTGACCACCCCACCTCTGGGCTATCCATTCTTTTCTATACTAGGTGTCTAATGATGAGGCCGGTGGTTAATTGTTCCTTTCTAGTTTGTTTTGAGTTATAATTTTGAATAACTTCTGCTCTTCTTTTAAAATGGAATAGACATTTAATCTGTCTTGATTGATAGATCCAATCAAAAGCAGGTCAATGATTTCAATATTTATAAATATTTATCACTTTAAAGGAACACGATAAAGATATTCAAGCAAATTCTGATTTATGCACTAACATTTAGTAAATATATTATCAGAAAGCGATGATAACAACAGTAACAAGAAAAGCAGCAGCAGCAACAACAGAAACCTACTCAAACCAACAACCTTGAATAACTCGTCAAATACTCTTTGATTCAGGGGGAAAAAAGAGCGTGAAGAAATTTTCCCATCTACCCTTCTACCATTCCTTCTCATGATAATGTCTGGTTTTGATGTATTTGTCAAATTCCACTATACATTGAGTTTTTCTAACTAGTTACGCAAGGTATTATGTCTGAGTTGAATTGAATCTTTTTTTTTTTTTTTGCCTTAAAAATCAGTTTGCTACAGTATCACTGGAATCAACTGAACTGTTCCTGTTTAGAAAAAAAAAAAACACTCTTTGGGGCAATTTGAGCTTTGGTTAGATTGCTTACTGCTTCCTGCATTTCTAGACAGATTTTCAAATTTCTCCCACCCCATGCTGACTGGCATAACAATAGGTTTTATTGTCAAGTGTGCTGAGGTGTCAGACTACTAATTCCAGGGCTGGAGCCTCTGCGGATCTGTTTCTGAAGACATGGGTGTTCTCCCTGAATCCAGTCTGCCTCCTCCCTGCCCACCTCCAGGCTTGCAGGTGTCTGTAAAGCACTGTACAAACATCATAAAGTCAATCATTAGTCAAGTGTCACTCAGTGCAAATGAGCTGATGGTCATCTCACATAGTTATGTAGAACACCTGCTATTAGTAGTTTTAGCACCCCTAAATAAAAAAATAAATTTCAGCCACTTTTTGAAGGCATGATAGCAAACCTTTTAGCTGCAAATAACACAGAGAAGAATGTAAAAATGAAATAGAGATGGACATATATACAAAGGATTTAGTCTGTTGGAGAAGACTCTTCCAGAGGAACAGCAGAAGGTAACTCAAATTCATCTCATTTAAAGACAAGGGTTTTCTTTTTTTTTCTTTTTTTTTTTTAAATTATACTTTAAGTTCTAGGGTATGTGTGCGCAACTTGCAGGTTTGTTACATACGTATACATGTGCCATGATGGTGTGCTGCACCCATTAACATGTCATTTACATTAGGTATATCTCCTAATGCTATCCCTCCCCCCTCCCCCAACCCCATGACAGGCCCCGGTGTGTGATGTTCCCCTTCCTGTGTCCAAGTGTTCTCATTGTTCAGTTCCCACCAATGAGTGAGAACATGCGGTGTTTGGTTTTCTGTCCTTGGAATAGTTTGCTGAGAATGACGGTTTCCAGGTTCATCCATGTCCCTACAAAGGACATAAACTCATCCTTTTTTATGGCTGCATAGTATTCCATGGAGTATATGTGCCACATTTTCTTAATCCAGTCTGTCATTGTTGGACATGTGGATTGGTTCCAAGTCTTTGCTATTGTGAATAGTGCCACAATAAACATACGTGTGCATGTGTCTTTATAGCAGCATGATTTATAATCTTTTGGGTATATACCCAGTAATGGGATGGCTGGGTCAAATGGTATTTCTAGTTCTAGATCCTTCAGGAATCGCCACACTGTAAAGACAAAGGTTTTCTTAGATGCAATGTCAGTGCATAAACTTCCGTCAGTAGGCTGGGGCAAACCAACAGATTGTGCTCTTAAAAAGTGTGGCCCATTGAATAGAGTATTGGTGGAGAGATAGAATCTGGGAGGGCTTTTCTAGGAGGTGATATCCGAGAAAGACTTGGAGGGCAGGTAGATTTGGAATGTGAAGGGGTAGAGTTCTGAAGGGAGGTGTCAAGGACACTCCAGGGAGAGGAGGTAGCACATGCACTGGCATAGACTCAGACTCAGACACTATGGGGCACACGCAGGGTTCAGAGAGCAAGCACATTAGAAAGTAGAATCTATGTCTGGCAGAGGTCAGAGGCTGATGCTAGCTCCTAGATGACCTAGACTTGATTTGGTAGGCAGTAGGGGAACACTGGAGGGTTATGAAAAGCGGGTGAGATGACCAGAACTTGGCTTCAGGAAGACTAGCATCATCCAGGTTTTGGCACAGAGACTTACTAACTTTTGTGAAGACAAACCTGGCCAGGCACCATGACACAATCCCAATATTTTGGGAGGCCGAGGTGGGAGGATTGCTTTAGCCCAGGAGTTAGAGACCAGCCTAGGCAGCATAGTGAAACTCTGTCTCTATTTAAAAAAAAAAAAAAAAAAAAAAAAAAAAAAAGACAAACCTTAGGAGCACTAGGGGGTTGGCATTCTTACTTTTAGTCTTGGACACTAGAGAGGAATGTCAGGGCTGGGCTGATGAGACCTGGGTGTCGATGGTGGATGCCAGGTGAACTGGGTAAGAGAACTTCCTGGTCCTGTCTAGAGTAGGACCTGGTCTGTTCACCTCTGGTCCTTACCTCCTAAAGCAGATGTTATGCTGAGGCTACTGTCAGCTCTTCGTGTAAAGATCAGAGAACCTAGCTCCCCTTTTGCCCCTGAGTTCTACCTGGCCTTCTTAGTGTGACCCTTTAAAACGTTTTTAACAGTGGTTTTGAATTCTTGTCCTAGTTTGGCTGTTTGTGGCTCATGGCATTTAGGAACCCATCTTCAAGCTCAGACTCTACTGTCTCAGATCCCGAGAGCCATTGCTTGCTTTTGGGTTACGGCTCTTTATTCTGGGTTCCCTTTTGAGCATTTCTTTCTTTCTTTTTTGTGCAGAGAAAAAGATCTCCGACAAAAAGCTATCCACTGTTTACAGAGTATATTCCTTTAAAAGAGAATTGGGAGTTTTCTCAGGTGATGTTTTTTTACTGATACATTATTTATGTTAACTTTAAACTTATTCTACATCCATTAAAAATGCTTACTTTGACTTAGCATATAGCCAGTTGGCATCATATAATCCTGGGGGGAAATAATTATATACATACAAGAAATTTTAAAAGACCTTATATATTAAATTTTGCTTATTACCATAGTTGCCTAGGAAACCGTAAAGGGTTATATGTTCACTTCCGAAGTTTATGAGTAAAAAATGGACAAATTACTTTCTACCCCCCATTTATGCATTAGTTAAAATAAAAGCACTTCGAAGAAAGGGTTATAGATTCTAGGGATGAGCCCTCATTCCTTCCGTTGCCACGTCTGGAAACCCAAGAATTTGGCATTTACCTTCTAGATGGGTGATTAAAATCCTGACTTAGATATAATCGCTTTATTGAAGATGTTTACATTAACTTATTCTTTGGGGGTTTTCCTCCGTGTTTCCACGTAAGTTACATATCTGTACCTCCTCCTTTGACCTCTGTACACTGGAAAGAAGTAAAATATCTTGCATTAGCATAACTTCCAAACCTGACAGGTGGTATTTAGCCATCGATTTATGGCCTCTAAGCTGCATTAGTTCCCATCCCTTTCCACACGGTGTGGAGACCCTGTGTGCTCTGTCGACGTGCAATGTTTTTAATGGATGTGAACTTAACCATTAATGTAACATCTCTGGTTTAATGCAGATGCTTTTGTTAAATGACAATATAATTACCAGTCATCGGCAAACCTCAAAAAGGCTGGGAGGTTTGGTTCAGTTAAACACCCGAGAGCTCAGATCCTTATCTGAAGTTTACCCCTTGAGTTTAGCAAGTCCAGGCTGGAAAACTCCCCATCTATCTAAGACATGAGCCCTCACTCAGCAATTCTGTTCTTCTGTTTCTCAATATCGGCACCTCTATTTTTCAGTCTTGGCCTGCTGAATACAGTGAAAGGCAACATAAAAAGATAAAAGAAACATCATCCGTATCAAACTGAGCTGAATAAAGTATCCCTAAGGTGGGAAAAACAATTGGATAAATATTTTATGTTGGAGGGGAAGTGCTCTCTTCTTGGAGTGTTAGGAAACCTTTTGCCTCCATGCCCGGATTCTTGTTTAAAATGTTTCATGCTGAGAAGTTTTCTAGCAATTTCCCCCAACATAAGATAGGGGGTGGGGGGAATTGCTGAAGATGACTCAGATTAATCCTATTTGAAAACAAGTCTTTTTTCCTAGAAAAAGCATGAACGTTTAAACTTCTTTCAGTATGCTGGGGCAAGCCAGCACGCTGTGTACTTAAAAAAAATAATTAAAATACTTTCAACACTGTGTGTGTTTTGTGTTTAGTTTAGGAGGTATATTGCATCAGTGGTGGTTTTTCCAGTTTTACGTTTCTCTAAATGACCTTTTTTGTCCTTCTCTTGTCTTCTGTTTCATAAGGTTTGAAATGAGACAGGACTTTAGTTATACAAAGTCATCTAGCATTGACTTAGAGGAATGACTACTGTCAGCTATTGCAGTATGGGGATTATTTGGTCCTGTCTGAAAGCAAGATTTTGGAGTCAATATCTGGCACAGAACTATGAGGAGCCATGTATCATTTGATCTTCTGCATGCAAATCACAGCCTTGCAATGAAAATATTGCATCTTGAGATGCTAGTATGATGCTTTAAAATAAAAGTTAAACAATTTTGCCTGGGCGCGGTGGCTCACGCCTGTAATCCCAGCATTATGGGAGGCCGAGGCCAGCGGATCATGAGGTCAGGAGATCGAGACCATCCTGGCTAACATGGTGAAACCTCGTCTCTACTAAAAATACAAAAAATTAGCTGGGCGTGGTGGTGGGCACCTGTAGTCCCAGCTACTCGGGAGGCTGAGGCAGGAGAATGGCATGAACCCAGGAGGCGGAGCTTGCAGTGAGCCGAGATCGCGCCACTGTACTGCAGCCTGGGTGACAGAGTGAGACTCTGTCTCAAAAAAAAAAAAAGTTAAACAATTTTTTAAAAAATGACTTAGGAATGCTGCCATCACCTTAGAGAAGTTTTAGCCTTATACTGAATTCTGGTGTCGGTGAGTCTAAGAAGCCTGTCTTGGTTAGACATCTGTTTTTAGCCCAGGGAAAATTTATGCTGCTTTTATTTTGAGCAAAATTTTTGAAGTCTCTTGGCAAGCTTATAGATAAAATAATTTTTAAAGGCAATAGTGTCCCCTTGAAATCCAAATATTGATATGAACTTAAAGCCCAGTGGTATACGTGTGACCTCAACAGAAAAGCTTAGGCTGGATGCAGTGGCTCACTCCTGTAATTCCAGCACTTTAGGAGGTCGAGGCGGGTGGATCACCTGAGGTCAGGAGTTCGAGACCAGCCTGGCCAACATGGGAAAACCCCGTCTCTACTAAAAATACAAAAATTAGCTGGGTGTGGTGGCGCGTGCCTGTAATCCCAGCTACTTGGGAGGCTGAGGCAGGGGAATCTCTTGAACCCAGGAGGAGGTGGTGGCAGTGAGCTGAGACCATACCACTGCACTCCAGCCTGGGCCACAGAGCGAGACTCCATCTCAAAAAAAAAAAAAAAGAAAAAAGAAAAAAGAAAAGTTTGAGGAAATTCTTAGATAAACACAGGTATTAATCTCCCAACATAGAGTCCAGCACATGAAATTACTATTTTTAAGCCATTATTTTCTATTCCCACCGTACCACTGCTTGATTTCTGGTAGTTGGAACTCCATTTTATTTTTATAGTTTTGGTTTTATAGCTTTGGTTGAGTCAGGATGTGCTGGCCTCTGTCTATCCTTATTGATGGCTGATTCCTTCCTTGCAAACCATCAGGGTAACATTGGCTAAAGGATTTTCCACTTGCCTTGCTGAATCTGGAGTTCATAAAGTCATTGAAGGTAGCTTAATTGGTTATGCATTTCAACAAATGCTACACACCGTATCTCCAGAGGGTTGCCATGCATAAGCCACTGGGTACATAAAATCTGTATTATCGGAAAATAAACACCAGACTCCTTCAGACCTCAAGCACTCTCTAGCAGTTTAGTTAATGGGGATTCTTGCCACCAAAGACAGGACAAACCAGAGAGCACAGGCCGTTAGGCTCATTTGTGATGCTATGATGTCTAAGCACCATTCTCTTATGTCAGGCCATAAATTAGGACAAAGTGGGCCTATTTTTTGTTTTGTTTTTTCTTTTGTGTGTGTGTGTTCTGTTTGAGCATCTTTGTTTTCTGTGGCAGGCTTTAAAAGGGTATTCAGTAAAGGCAACGAAGGAGGGTTTTTCCATTCTTTAAAAAGAGCTCATTAGACTCTGCAAATTGATGCAGTACAAACAACATTGAGAGGGTCTGGGTTCCCACATAAATTAGCTCAGTTTGTGCAAGATGAAAAATGCTTTGGCCATAACAGCCAGCACTACAAACACACCCCGGCTTAGAAAAAAACAAGGTGTGCCCACCGTGTCTCTTACGTCACCTGCAGTCATAAAAGTGCTGTAATTAAAACTGAGCTGACAATTTGCTTAATGATCTGTGAGGCAGAGGAGAATCCAAGGAGGGCCCCCAAATGTGGTTGGCTGGAGTTTCTGCCATGCCAACAGCGGTGGCCGCAGAAAAACTCTTCTTCACTTGAGAAAATGGTGACTCATCCGAGAAGACAGTGAGGTGGATGGTGAAGCCAAGCCAGCTGCCTTTAAATCATCAACACCATTTTCACAATAATGAGTTTGTGTGAGTGAGAAGGTGCTTAAGGTGCTTTGGAACCATCCATTTATAATTAGCCAGGTCAAATTTAAGAAAATTAAACTATTCCCAGCAATACAACTTAGACCAATTAACGACTTAATTGGTTCACCATAATAATATGAGGTAGTTTCTAGTTCAGTTTTCTTACTTCAGAATTACTATTATATTATTATATAAGAAAAGAATCTTTTTATTTGTGAGACATTGAGTCTCAACTGGAGCCGACACAATGCTGCTAGTCCAGATTTTGCATAAGCTCTGGAATCCAATTCCCCCACAGATTCATCGTTGACCCTTGAAGAGGCACTTGACCTCATCCTTTCCTGACCCATGAAATTAGAAGCCCAACTGCCACAGAGAGATGATTTAGATTTGATTCCTGATATGCACTCTATGTATGGGAAACTTGGAAACTTTCCAATAGATCCAGTATATATCTAGGTGCTTAATTATTGGGATAAAAATAATACTCATTATTTCCTGAGTTATTCTTTAATAATTTAAAGATGCATTGCCTTTAAGTACCACCATGCTAAAAAAAAAACAAAAAGCAACAACAAAAACACATTGAACAGTAAATTTTGGGAGACATTTTCCTAACACAATATGTTATACATTTAAACTAGTAAGTCTATCCTCATGCCACTTCTGAAGGCCATCCTACCACTCCTGACGGCCAGTCCACCATTTATCAATTGAAAAACATTCAGTTTATATATTTGTCAATATTGAAATCAAAGATCTACTTCTAGTAACACTGCTTTCCAGCTCAATTTTCCAGAAAGTCAGGGGATCTTTAATGCAAACGTGATCTCCACCTTATGAGGGAAGACTTAATAGTTAAAATCAATGTTGAATAATATGAAGAGATAAACAGAAGGCCATTTTTAGAACCTGCTATTCTTAGTCTCTTTTACCCTGAGAAGATTCTAAATAATTGCAAGGTATTTACTTACCAAAACACACCTCTTTTTCAGTCAAAACTTCAGGAGCGCTTTTTCAGTGTCATCACGTGGGTTTCTTAGGGACATTCATTTGACATTAAAAGCTCATGAACATGGAAAATCTTTGTTCAGGTGGCTTCTGAGATATTACACATCCCTTTGAACCATGCCCTGCACTGGGTTTCCACTGTTAAGCAGGTGGTTGAGTATAATACTAAGACAGTTAACCTAATTCCTTCCCAGAAAACCAGGTCTATAGTACGTAGGGAAATAAAGTGAAGTTTTGTTCAACCCAAGAATGAGAATCATCCCTGTTGATAAGAAAAGAATCTTTTTAAAGTTTATGGGACATTGAGGCTCACAAAAGAGCTATGTGCAAAGATCAAACAGTTCCAAAAATTGCTCTATGCAATCATTGTCAGAACTTTCTTTTGCGTCTTGGAAATACATAGTAATACATGCTACAATTAATGTAAAATTACCTCATATCTGAGAATACCAGAAATGGTGCATATTTTACTCATTCCTTTGTATAATACATTATTTTAATGCTATTTCTGTTGATTTGCTACTTTCTTAACCCACATAATGTTTATCTTGAATTTTTAGTCTTTTATTATTAACACTAGGGCAAATAACTTAATAAATACTCTTAATAGAACAAATATATCACACTATGATTCCAGATGGTGCTGACTGGTTGAGAGTACAGCAAAGAAAATAGAAGGATAAATTTTGGAGTCAGAAAATCTTAAATTTAAATCCTAGTTCTGCTCTTTCTCAGCAGAAGGACTTAGATAAGTTATTTAACTTCTCTGAGCTTTAATCTTCTCATCTACAAAGTAGAAATCATAAAATGCCTAGCTCCTGATGGTTGTGAGAATTAAATAATGTATGATAAATGTAACATGCTTAGTATTTGATATGTCACAAATGAGGTGCTAGCCATATTGTAACATATTAAGCTGTAAGAAATTCAATGACCTACCTTTCTCTCTTTCTTTCTTTCCCTCTCTCTTTCTTTTTTCTTTTTCTCTCTTTCTCTCTCTCTCTCTCTTAACAGTGTCTTGCTCTGTCACCCAGGCTGGATTGCAATAGTGTAATCTCAGCTCATTGCAGCCTTGACCTCCTAGGCTCAAACGATCCTCCCATCTCAGCCTCCCAAGTGGCTGGGACTACGGGTATGGGGCACCACGCCTAGCTAATTTTTCTATTTTTAGTAGAGACAGTGCCTTGCCTTGTTGCCCAGGCTGGTCTTGAACTCCTGGGCTGCAGCAATCTGCCCACCTTGGCCCCCAAAAGTGCTGGGATTATAGGTGTGAGCTACTGTGGTTGGCCATTTCTTATTCAACTTTGTATATCCAATGGGCTAGCTTCTTGCCTAGCAGGCATTACAAAATGTTTAATGAATGATTGAATAAATAATACCATATAGATCTTCACTGTTTAGACAGAACTATTAGATGCAAAATCTCATGTAACAAAAAGATATTAGAAATACAGGAAAATGTCCAACACGCAATTCCAAATCAATAAATATGAGTTAAAGATATTAGCAGGTTTTCTAAGACTCTTGACTGCAATCCTAAAAGTTAACTGAGTACATTTCCTTATTAATAGGGATTGTTCAAAATGAACCATTTCTTCATATAGCTTATTTTAAGTGATCAATAAAAATTACATATAGATTGAGAGTTTTAAGACGTATACCCAAGTGCACCTCTGCTAGAACTTTCCTTCTTGAACTGTGGGATCTTAATCCAATAGCCACTCAAATGCTTTTATCATTTTCTCTGCCTTACAGTCCAATGGTCTACTTAGATCCTCATTCAGTTTCCCAGACGCACTTCTAAAAATAAATGGACGAAAAAGAAAGCTAAGAAAAGGCCCCTCCTGATGTATCTACTGAGAAACAGCAACAGCAGAGCCTGCCTCAGGATGCTTCTCTCTCCTCGCTAGTGTCCCATGCCAGAGGTGCCTAATATTTAATTTAAGCAGGGGATCATAAAAGAAGCAGAGGCCATGTCTTAGCAGGGAAAGAAACACATTTATTTCTATTATGATTGTTGAGAGTATTTTGAGAGGTAATTAGAAACCAATTGATTTTCTTTACTGTTTTATTATATAGCTTATAAAGGTAAACCAGTAAACCATAGATTTGGTCTGGATTTTGTAATTTGTGGGGATTTGTTGATGAAATCAAGGGGCCCTAGAAATAAAATATGTGGATTTTCCACCTTGTTACTCCTTTAAAGAAGGAAAAACAGATTTGTAAATCTAGAGTCAATTTCTGCTCAGATAGACACAGGCAGAATCTCTCTGTGTCTCTGTCTTTGCCTCCCTCCCTCCCTCCCTTCTACCTTCCTTCCCTCCTTCATTCTTTCCCTCCTTCTCTCCCTCCTTCCTTCCTTACCTCCTTTCTTCCTTCCCTCCCTCCTTCCTTCCCTGCCTTCTTCCTTACATCCCTTCTTTCCTCCCTCCCTCCCTGCCTCCCTCCCTTCCTTCTTTCCTTCCTTCCTTCCGTCCTTCCTTCTTTCCTTCCTTCGTTCCTTCCTTCCTTCCTTCCTCCCTCTCTCCCTTCCTTCCTTCTTAATTTATTTTCTCCCTCCCTTCCTCAATATTTGACATCCTTTTTCTTCTTTTTCCCATCTTCCCCTCCCTCCCTCCTTTCCTCTCCTCTCTCTCTCCCTTGCTTTCCTTCCTTCACTGTCTCCACCTCTTCTTCCTAACTCCTTTTCCTTTACCATTCAACACTCTTTCATTCAAACTTCAAGTATTTATTTCTACCTACCATGGGTCAGTTACTATTCTAGTCTTCTAATCAATCTCCTCTAAAATATTCTTATCAAGCCGTCATTCCATCTGTGTGTCAACAGCTCACTGGACTCCACTTACTCCATCTAAGTGTGTTTCCTTGTGGTTTTCTCTGAAGTTACACTCTTTCCCCCTAATGCAACTGCACATTTAAGTTTCAGAGGCAAACAATAACCTGAACTGGCTGGCATTTGCCTAGGCATGGAGGGGAAATCATTTTTTTCATATTTGGAAAATCAGTCAGAAATTGTAAATATTTTTCATGCCTTGCTTTATCCTGAGTTTTTCAAAGGAAAAGAAAAACTTTCATGATGCTCACATAATTTTCATTCACTCTCCGATTGTCTTAGAGGATATCCAGGTGAAGGGCTAGTGGGACTGGATCCTGCCTTTCTTTTGGGGGCTGGTGAGGTCATAGACCAAGGGGGGATATTTTGGAAGAGATGTGTTGAAGCATTCTTTATATGCTCCCTAGAAACATTAACTAGCTCATCAAGTGAGAAACATCAGACATAGGACATGGGCAATGAGTCAGAATGAAAAATTGACTTTGAGGGCCAAGTAAGAGATGGGGTTAAGGCCCTTGGCATCCCACAGGGTAAAGGGACTATAAGTAGAACACCATCCCAGGAGTTCCCGAATTAGAGTGCACGAGTAGAAGTGGGGCTTGGGACCTCTCCACTGCAGAATCTCCCATTTGAGAATTATAGGTCAGGGGACCAATTTTGCCACGGGGCAGGGGGGCTCTAAATTTAATTGTAAAATACCCCTTGGAAAGAATCTTATATATCAAGGAGAATATCTTTTACCTAGTAGTAGTCCAGGAACATTTTCAAAGGTGAGTGGGAAAGGATTACAGTTGAATTAGTGATGTTCTACTTGCTCATCTCTTTGACAGTACTTTTTTTGAGGAGCCCATTTAAATGAGTATGTGTGTGTGTGTGTATACATGTGTATACACGGGTGTGTGCTTTGTGTGAGAAGTTTTTAATGATTTAAGGTAAATTTAAAATGCTTCATCTTTCGGTGTTTCACTTGGGTGTTGAGTGTGGAGACTATTGCGTGTGGAGACTAAACTGCACCTAATGACAGAAGTAAGCTTTACCTCTGGAGCTTTTCATGAGCAGTCTATCAAAAAGTCAAGGGGAAAATGTGACTAACTATGGACTTCCTAAATGGAAGAAACTTTTCGTGCTTAAAAGTTGAAAAAAAAAAAACTTGCTGCAGAGAAAAAGACTTTGACCAAGGAAGATTTAAGTAAATAAGATTCTGATTATCACAATCTCTTTAGATAAACAAAATTAAAGGATAACAACAAACTGTAAAAATATTTACACCCAGCTCCATAGTCAAATAGTTTGCATCCTAATATATAATATTCCATGCACAAATTGATTTGGAGAACTTACAGTTCTTATAGATAAACGGGTAAGTGATATAAATTTTAAAATGGCAATAGTTTATAAACATGAAGACCTTAATAAAAATGTAAACTAAAAGAAGAATGAAATACCCTCCTCCCTTGTTTCTTTATAATTGTTAATGATTAAGAAAATATTCTGGTAGAATATTTGTAGATGGAATCTTAGAAACCTTACCTTGTATTGGAAAGTCAACTTAAACTTTTTACGCTGTTGTTGCTGAATCTGCACATTATCTAGATAAAAGGAAAACACATTTTTGTGATAAGGGATATTGTTGAGACAATATCTGGGACCAGAGATATCTCCAGGGAGAAATAGTTTGTTTCTCTTTGGTTGTTAAAGTGTACCTGGATGCAAGGGTTTAATTTCCTCCCCTTTATATGTCTACATTTTGGAGTCAACAGTTATATTTTTTAAAAAAGCAGCAAAATCAGAAGTCCCTTTCTTTTTTAAAAAATCATTATTTGCTTCTTTTTCTCCAATATCAGTCTCAAGTATACATTTTTGAGTGATTTGCATGTGAATGTTTGGTTTTCATCCAACATTGAACATTAGCTTCTCTTAGTGTTTATTGGATAGAAGCTGATTGGTTTCATCTGTGAAGCTGTAGTGGAATATTCTTAGATTCTATACAGGCATTCGTCGACCACCCTATCCCAGTAGCTTCAGTGTGTGTCAGGGGGCCACATCCAGAGCTGGGAGAATGATATGGTTTGAATATATGTCCCTGCCAAATCTCATGTTGAATTGTAATCCCCAGTATGGGAGATAGGGCCCAGTGGGAGGTGAATGGATCATGGGGTTAGATTTCTTGTGAATGGTTTGGCACCAACCCTAATGGCTTGATGCTATCCTTGCCATAGTTGAGTGAGTTTTTATTAGGTCTGGTTGTTGTAAAGGGTGGCCTCTTCCCCACCATTCTCCAGCTTGCTCCTGCCTTCACCATGTGAAATGCCTGTTTCCCCTTCACCTTCCGCCATGATTGAAAGCTCCCTGAGGCTTCACCAGAAGCCCAGCAGATGCCAGCACTATGCTGCCCGTAAAGCCTGCAGGATCATGAGCCCATTAAACCTCATTTCTTTATAAATTACCCTGTCTCAGGTATTTCTTTATAGCAATGTGAGAATGGCTTACTTCAGAGAACAACTCAGTCCTTAACTTTTTCTGTGACCAAGACCCCATCTCTTACTTTTTATGTTTCAGGATTCTTATCTAAAAAATAAGAATAATAGGCCAGGTGCAGTGGCTCACGCCTGTAATCCCCACACTTTGGGAGGCCGAGGCGGCCAGATCACGAGGTCAGGAGTTCGAGACCAGCCTAACCAGTATGGTGAAACTCTGTCTCTACTAAAAATACAAAAATTAGCTGGGTGTGGTGGCAGTGGGCCAAGATTATGCCATTGCACTCCAGCCTGGGTGAGAGAGGGAGACTCTGTCTGAAAATAAATAAATAAATAAATAAATAAATAAATAAATAATACTTACCCGCTATGAAAACATATTACTAAAAATGACCAAATGAATTGACTGCATGGAACTTAAGAAAGAACATAGTATTCTAAAAAAGGTTTAATACCAAAAAACAAATGGGATAAAGAATTTTACTCCATGGTTGTTAATCCAGCACCTTTCATAAGTATGAAATTTATTTAAGCTAAATAAAAATAGCACAGGACAGGTTGCATTTGTAAGGGAAATCTCAGAGAACACAGCAAAGATATTGGAAAGTTGCAATTTTTTCCCAGATAATTAAAGGTCCTACTATTTAGCCAAACCATAATTCATCACAAAGGGTGAGGCATTGATTATTGCTCTGGCCACATTCATTTTTAATTCCATTAGTGAAATAAATGACAGCCGTTGAATATGCCACTTTCTTGTTACACAGCAATCAGAATGGTAAATAACTCTAGAATCCATAACAGCTGAATAGATAAGCTTGTTTCTCCCTCTTTGGCATCCCGAACGCCAAAGTTTTAAGTAGCAATAAATGTAATATCCATCTTCTTCAATGTGTTGTCATAGCCGCTCTTTGGTGATCACACTGTGTTCCAAATAAAGCTATTCTCATTATTTACCCAGTGGTGAGCTGCAGAGATGGACCACCCGGCACAAGCCTGCCATCTTCATTTATCCCTGGCAGAAGCTGGTTTCCTCCAGAGCCCTGAAGCTAACGGTTCTCATTCAAACGACAATGCGAGTGTCCTGAAAACCGACTAAATTATATTTCTAGGTACATGTGTCGTAATGGCTGTCAAAGAGAAGCACGCTAGAAGGTTATCTGGCTTCCCCATCTTCTTCAGGTGTAATGTAGTCATTCATTTTGTTAACTCTCTGTTTGTATTTCAACCCAGAGGAGACCACAAACTGAAAAATACACACTAGTCTATTTTTGCCTTCTGTTGGTCTGTTTGTGGGAGTAATTGTTTCACACTCAGTGAACCACAAATGAGCTGATACTTGTATAAGCACTTTTAAGAAAACAGAGGGGCATTATTCTTACATTGTATGTTAAGGGATGTGAGGTCTTTATATACGTAGAATGATATGTGTTTGAATGCATTTGCCAAATTCTTTATGAATAATTTCATTCTTGCAGGGTAGTATCAATGGTAGCAGGGAGGGGGTAGTTTTGCTGGATTTACTTTAATTTAAGACAATTACTAGTAGGCCTATTTTGTGGTTGACCTGGACCTCTTTCAGGTATTGACAGTATTAATTTGCAAAATTAATTTTCTCTTCCCACTTCCCTGACACACACACACACACTCACACACACACACACACTCACACACACACACACACTCACACACACACACAGACACCACACAACCCCCACACAAAACCATATAAACACCAAACTATCCAAAGCATTGGCATGTAAACTTTCTGGTACAGCCCACACATTTGTATGATTGCAGTTTTTTTTAAATTTGAGAAGCTATCAGTAAAGCTCAAAATACAATTTTTATATGTATTTAATAATTGAAATTTTCTTTTTTAACCATTCTCTTATAGCAGACAAATAGGTTTCCCATGAGGTAGCTATGAGAGGTGCCTTGCCATAGAGGTCAGAGGTATCTGACTGTAAATGAGGTCTCAAGAAAAATATTCTATTGCTGAATCAAACCTGAATTATTGGCACAAGCCTTTTCTGTGTGGTTAACCAGGGCATGTAATATTTTGAGAGCATGAAAAAAATTGCTGACTCGTCACTGATAATGAGTGTAGCTTGGTAAACTGAGATAATGAAAAGAGGTAATCACATTTCATGCTTTAGGGCATACGTTGATCACTTGCAGGAGTCAGGAAGGAATTTCTCCCTCCCAGCAGAACGACATGATGCTGAGTTCCTGAAGGCATCTGGAAGCCTCTAAGGTCTTGCCTGGAGCAGGAATACTTGCATGGGACAGTCTGATTCTAGCCTGAGGACCCACTGTTCCTCTGCACATTCTGAGCATGCAGGCAGATTTCTATCTTGTTCTTTGTGCTGGGAAGGGCTGTTTCATTGTTTCCTGGTTTGGCTGCTGATTGGTCTTACTCAAAAGTTGATGGAAGTGGTGATGCCATGTGCTGCAACACGCATACTCTTGCTTTCAACCCTGATGTTATGTTACATGAAATACTATTCTCAGAACAAAGGTAGACACTATACAGCATTTCCCCAGTTATTCTTGGACAGAAAAAGAGAAGAGATATTGTGCTGTCTAAACTGCTAGTATCCTCTTCCTTTTTCCACTTTCTTCCATAAAGTAAGGGCTGAATAGTCTTGTAGATTTAATTTTTATTCTTCGTTCTGTCCATCTTAAACCAGCCTTTCTCAGCTAAGTTTTCTCATCTGACCTGCAGAAGTATAGTTTGAGTGACTACTCTCTACATTTTCCTGAAGATGGTATGTAATTAAGACCTTTCTATATGTATTGGAGAGAAGTTAATTCATTAAATAAAAGGATGCCTCTTTGCAGTGGGATAGTCAGATAGCATACAGAGTTGCCCTGGGAAGGTTTTGTCCTTCATGCCCCCTGTAGGCTATGTTCCTGTCATCTACAGAAGCATTAAAGCATTTAGTATGCAGGCTTGCATTTGTCCCTGGTTGGCCAGGGTCTTCGGTTTAGAGTTCATCTTCCCCCAGCAAGTGCACATCCTCTAGTCCAAACCATTCCCTTCCTATTTGCCTGTACTGAAACTCACCGGTCTCATTTTCTAGGGATCCTTGCTCTTTGAGAGGGAGGAGGGTATACTAACAGAATGTTTTCAGTAAAGGGAGATTAGATTAATTAAATAATGCCTCTGCAGCAGGTTTCTCAATGCCTAATCTAGTGATATAATTTCAATGCCTACTCTAGTGATATATATATATGATATATATATGATATATATGAGATATATATCTCATATATATATCATATATATCATATATATCTCATATATATCATATATATATCATATATATATCATATATATCATATATATATCATATATATATCATATATATCATATATATGATATATATATCATATATATCATATATATATCATATATATCATATATATCATATATATATCATATATATCATATATATATCATATATATCATATATATATCATATATATATCATATATATATCATATATATATCATATATATAATATATATATCATATATATCATATATATCATATATATCATATATATCATATATATATCATATATATCATATATATCATATATATCATATATATATCATATATATCATATATATATCATATATATATCATATATATCATATATATCATATATATATCATATATATCATATATATATCATATATATCATATATATCATATATATATCATATATATCATATATATCATATATATATATCATATATATCATATATATATCATATATATGATATATATGATATATATATGATATATATCAGATATATATCATATATATATATTCAGAATGCTTCTAAGGAATGATTAAATAGTAGGAGATTTCGGTAACCTTAGACTGGTGGAAATAAAAATCACCTACTGTGTATTTAATATAAGGTAGCATGCTAAGCACTGAAATATAGAGATGAATGGAACAAGACTTATGTTTCCACATTTTTCACAGTCAAGTTAGGGAGACAAATGAGCGGACAAATACAAACAAAGAATTGGCAAACCATGAAATGTAAACTTTTCCTAAAGTCCATGAAGAATCATGGAAGGGTTTAGCAGAGATATGCTCTGACCTCGTCAGTCCGATGGCTTTGTGCAAGATGGCTGGGTGGGGGCACCTAACACCAGAGACAGGCAGACTGTTGGGGAAGTTTTTGAAATCTTCTAGGTAAGAAAAACAATGAGGGGTTGACCCAGGCTGTGATAAGAAGGAAAGGAAAAATTGGAAGATATGTAGATTAATTTCAGATATAAATGGATGGATGAGTGATTGGATGTGGGTATTGAAAAACAGGAATAATAAAGATGACTCATGGATTGGTGGTCTAGCTAGGCCCAAAAGGATGGTGGAGGCATTGGTGAGAAGGGACACCCAGGAGCACGAACGAGGCTCTGGGGAAAGAGGGAAAGTTCAATTTTGAGTATGTGGACTTTGAGGAGCCCATGTAACCTTCTGGTGGAGCTAATAGGTCAAAAGGGCTATAAGGCTCTGACACTCAGAAAGGAGATTTGTGTTGGGGATAGAGATTTGGGAATCTCAGTGTTGATGGGAGAGTCAAGGAAGAGTAGAGAGAATATAGGACATGTGAAGGAAATCCTGAGATGTGCAGCGTGGGGGAGTGGAGAGGATACAGACTTTGCAATCAGAACATCAGCACTCATGTCTGACAGTTCGTGAGCTCTCAAAAAATCACAAACCCCAATGCCATAATTCCCATCAGGGTGAGGCTCTGTCTTCTTCATCTTTGTATCACAACATCTAGCACCGTTTCCTGCACACAGTAGGTGTCCAATCATGCACTTACTGGATGAAAGAGGGCCCCACGAAGCAACAGTGGCCTGATGGGGAAACCAAAAGCAGGAAAACGGTTTCAAGGAAGAGGGTGTGGTCACAGTGTCACTTGCAGTCAAAGGTTAAGTAAGACTGAGAAGGGTCCAGTAGATCCGGCAATCAGTGGGTCATTCGTGACCGTGGGGAGAGCCATGGTGGAATGCAGGGAGTTGAGGGGTGAGCAGCAGGTAAAACGGGGTGGCAGTGAGTTGCTCCATTACTTTTCTATGAAGTTAAGCAGTGAGGGGGAAAAGAGACACTCGCCGCCAGCATGTGGTTAGTACCCTGTAAATTACAGAGGTTATTAGTGTTCAACAGAGGCATCCTCAACAGGTCACTTGGCTCCTACCCTCTATCCTTAGCCAGCCTGGGAACATCCCTTCAGCAGCCCAGGCCTGAGCAGAAGCTGGTTGCCCCCAGTCTCTCAGGCAGCAGTTTCCATAAAGCTCTTATTAATGGAACCCCCAAATCCGTCTGCCTTATAACTCCCATTCATTGGTTCTCCTCCAGTTTGGCCTTCTCCAGCCGCAAGTTACATCCGTTGTAACTGCTCCATTTTCATGAGCCATGAAGAAAACAAAGGAAAGAACAAAGGCTGCTGTTGGAAACACCTGATTCTCAGGTAGTTTTATCCCATTTTCTTGGCCTTTCTTGAAACTTTGATATATGCCATCAACCAAAATTATGGTCTCATAATTTCCACCAGTTGGTAAAAACTTAGGAGGTGAGAGCATTTGCAGGTAACATGAAATTGGATCCCAAAACATGCTTTAACTGCGGGCTGTTAGGAGTACAGCAGGAAAATCACAAAATTGTGCTTATTGAAACTAATTTAGGCTGGGTGAGGGGGCTCACATCTCTAAATCCCAGCACTCTGGGAGGCCGAGGTGGGAGAATCACTTGAGCACAGGAGTTCAAGACCACAAGCCTGGGCAACACAGTCAGATCCCCCGATCTCTACAAAATAAAAAAAAAAATTAGCTGGGCATGGTGGCATGTACCTGTAGTTCCAGCTACTTGGGAGGCTGAGGCTGGAGGATCACCTGAGCCCTGGAGGTCAAGGCTGCAGTGAGCTGTGATTGTTCTACTGCACTCAGCCTGGGCAACAAAGGGAGACCCTGTTTCTGAAAAAAAAAAAAGGAAGTAATTTATATAAGTAAACTATTTAGAAAAAAAGGCAAAGTAGTTTCATAAGCAAAATAAAATAATATTTTTTCCCTTTCCTTTCAACTTTTTTTTTTCTCATTTGGGAAGAGAAACAAATAAATTTGGGCCCAGGAAAAGTTTTGATTTCTGTACTTAAAATTTTAAAAGCATAATGGAGATAGCTAATCTGTCAACCATAGACATTTACTTAATTAACTCTTAAAAATGTAAAAACATTGGTTTATTTGATTTACTATTATATATCCATTACTGCCATAATTTTAACAGTGGATAATTTATGGTTTCTCTATAAATCAAGGCTTGGGGAATTATTTTAAAGTTAGCTTTCGATATTTATTCACTGTCTAGGCTCATCTAATGGAAGATCCTTTGGTGCCTTTAACTTTAGAAGCAGAAATTACAAGTTGATCCATTTCCATCTGAAAATATATCAGTTTTTCATGCTACAGTGAAATGTCTGTAGCATGGACTTAAAGTGTTTAAAAAAGTTAGTCTGGTTGTTGACATGATTTAAAACCGCAGCTGTATGTGTGTGTGTGTGTGTGTGTGTGTGTGTGTGTATATATATATATATATATATATATTTATTTAATAAAATCCAGTCTTCATTGCCCTAGAAACAGGTACATTAACATGTGGTTAAGTTCTAACCACAAGTCTTACAAGGCCCAACTTCCCAGGCCTGTTCCATTTTACTTTTTCTTTTTTTTTGTCGTTGCAGTTTCTTGTTTGTGGCCACGAAACTGCATTGGCATTAATGCACCTCATCAGAGTTACAGGTTTCATGAGAAGTCTTTAAAAAACTGGATGAGAGGCTGCAGCCCCTTCCAGCTGCAGTAGAGGCGTGATTCACCCGAGGACCGGGTACTTTCCACAAACTGAGGGCGGGGAGACTGTCCTTGCATGCTTCAGGCCCTGACGCAGGCCTGAAAGCCAAACTCCTCCCGGCCCACCCATTTAGCCATAGGCTTCAGAAACCTGTTTCTGTGTGGTTGGGAAAGAGCAGAGGGTGGGATTCCTTGAGGATGGCTCACTGCTTTCCTCTGTGACCCTTGAATACTTTTGTCCCAGGTTTAAACTGGTCAAACCTTTCTTCCTTAACCCATGAAGGGAAAGCCAGGCCTTATCTCTTCTCAGTTGGGAAAGTAACATTGACGCGATCTGTCCACATTCACTGAGATATCTCCTCTGCGCAGCCAAGGAATGAGACTGAAATGCATTTTGTGATTCACTGTACAAATATTGAACATCTGTTCCGCGTCCGGAATGTGGCGGTCACTGCCGATACCAAGGTGGGAAACCATCTACTCTCCAGCCGTTCACAGCTTAGCCTAGAAAACAAAACTGCTCAAAACCATGAAGACAAGGCTGAAAATTATGTGTCATAAAAGTAACATAGGTAAGGCGCTGTGGGAGTGAGAGGAGGTGTACTTGGTTAAGAAGGCTGAGAGTGAGGAATGAGAGAAGGCTTCATGGAGGCGGTGACCTTTGAGCTGGCACTTGGAGGATGTCCAGAGCTTCACTGTC
This sequence comes from Homo sapiens, assembly GCF_000001405.40. Taxonomy (NCBI): domain Eukaryota; kingdom Metazoa; phylum Chordata; class Mammalia; order Primates; family Hominidae; genus Homo; species Homo sapiens. The sequence continues at coordinate 8,366,893 of NC_000010.11, forward strand.
AGAGAATCAGTGACCTGGCTTTTCAAGTTTTCTGAGAAAACAGAAAGTGTCACTAAAGCACAGAGTGTGAGGAGAGGAGACAGCTAGGTGAATTTAATGGAGTCACCATCTTAAGAATTTTTTTTTTTTTTTTTTTTTTTTTTTGAGACGGAGTCTCGCTCTGTCGCCCAGGCTGGAGTGCAGTGGCGCGATCTCGGCTCACTGCAAGCTCCGCCTCCCGGGTTCACGCCATTCTCCTGCCTCAGCCTCCCGAGTAGCTGGGACTACAGGCGCCCGCCACTACGCCCGGCTAATTTTTTGTATTTTTAGTAGAGACGGGGTTTCACCGTGTTAGCCGGGATGGTCTCGATCTCCTGACCTCGTGATCCGCCCGCCTCGGCCTCCCAAAGTGCTGGGATTACAGGCGTGAGCCACCGCGCCCGGCCCATCTTAAGAATTTTTGCTAGCCATATGCAAAAAATTGAAACTGGGCCCTTCCTTACACCATACACAAAAAGTAACTAGAGATGGATTAAAGACTTACAGGTAAAACCTCAAACTATAAAAACCCTGGAAGACAATCTAAGCAATACCATTCAGGACATAGGCATGGGCAAAGATTTCATGACAAAGAGACCAAAAGCAATTGCAACAAAAGCAAAAATTGACAAATGGGATCTGATTAAACTAAAGAGCTTCTGCACAGTAAAAGAAACTATCAACCAGAGTAAACAGAGAGTCTACAGAATGGGAGAAAATTTTTGCAAACTATGCTTCTGACAAAGGTCTAATATCCAGGATCTATAATAAACTTAAACAAATTTATAAGAAAAAAACCCCATTAAAAAGTGGGCCAAGAACATGAACAGATACTTCTCGAAATAAAACATATATGTGGCCAACAAGCATATGAAAAAAAGCTCAACACCACTGATGATTAGAGAAATGAAAATCAAAACCACAGTGAGATACCATCTCACACCAGTCAGAATTGGCTATTGCTACAAAGTCAAAAAGATAACAGATGCTGGTGAAGTATTGGAGAAAAAGGAACACTATACACTGTTGGCCAGAGTGTAAATTAGTTCAACCATTGTGGAAGACAGTGTGGCAATTCTTCACAGACCTAAAGACAGAAGCACATTCAAAACAGCAATCCCATTACTGAGTATATGCCCAAATGAATGTAAATCAGTCTATTGTAACATACACATGCATGTGTATGTTCATTGCAGCACTATTCACAATAGCAAAGACATGGAATCAATGCAAATGCCCATCAGTGATAGACTGGATAAAGAAAATGTGGTAGATAGATACCATGGAATACTATGCAGCCATAAAAAAGAACAAGAGCATGTCCTTCGCAGGGACATGCATGGAGCTGGAAGCCATTATTTTTAGCAAACTGTTGCAGGAACAGAAAACCAAACATCACATGTTCTCACGTATAAGTGGGAGCTAAATGATGAGAACACATGGACACACAGAGGGGAACAACACACACTAGGGCCTATTGGAAGGTGGAAGGTGGGAGGAGAGAGAGGATCAGGAAAAATAACTAATGGGTACTAGGCTTAATATCTGGGTGATGAAATAATCTGTACAACAAACCTCCATGACACACATTTACCTGTGTAACAAACCTGCACAACCTGCACGTACACCCCCGAACTTAAACTAAAAATTTTTTTAAAAAAGAATTTTGACTAGCAATTGATGTATAAAGCAAAATGCTCTTCCTTTTTACCATCAAACATCATTCTCCTGTATTAAATGACATTACCATGAGATCATTCTTTATGTTTACAACCTAATTTTTTATTTTTTTCTCCTTAGTCTTCAACGGGGATTAAAGATAGCCAGCCATCTTTGACCGTATCATAAAGTTGTTGTTGTTCAAAAGCTACCTCACATTGGGTTATCCACTTAAAAAGGAATCTATAGAATAGAGAATAGAGAAGTTGCTAATTACTAAGTGTGTTTGAATCAATACGCCTAGGGCTATGTCAAAAACACAAAGTGAGCTCAAGTCTGTACCCCAAGGTCTGCCATAAAGCACATACTTGGAAATTAAAAAGAAAATCCCCAGCCGGGCACGGTGGCTCATGCCTGTAATCCCAGCACTTTGGGAGGCCAAGGTGGGCGGATCACGACGTCAGGAGATCGAGACCATCCTGCCTAACATGGTGAAACCCCGTCTCTACTAAAAATACAAAAAATTAGCCGGGTGTGGTGGTGAGGGCCTGTAGTCCCAGCTACTAGGGAGGCTGAGGCAGGAGAATGGCGTGAACCTGGGAGGTGGAGCTTGCAGTGAGCCGAGATCGCACCATTGCACTCCAGCCTGGGCGACAGAGCGAGACTCCGTCTCAAAAAAAAAAAAAAAAAAAAAAAAAATCCCCAAGTTAACATTCAATATTTTATCTATTGCATATGCATCCTTGGTTGCAATGACAGAATTTCTGATTTTGAGGAGGTCAGAATGAGATCTATTTGTCCTTCATTGCTGATCTTCTAGCCCAAATATAAACCACAGCTACCAAAGGCAACACACTGCATGTTCATTATTCTGAGCATAATAAAAAGAAGTTCCTTGCAGTGAATGAAATGTAGCCTTGGATATGGTTCCCAAAGCAGGCTGTGAGGGCCGGCCATGGTGGCTCACAGCCTGTAATCCCAGCACTTTGGGAGGCTGAGGCAGGAGGATCACTGGAGCTCAGCAGTTCAAGCCTAGCCTGGGCAACACAGTGAGACCTCATCTCTAAAAATAAAAAATAACAAACAAACAAAAACTCCAAAAGCAGGCTGTGGGATCTCGTGCTTGGAAATCTTGAAGACGGCATTGATGGTCACCTTGGTGAGTGTGGTCCTGCCTGGGGCCAGGTGTTCAGTGAGGCGACCCCTGTGGCTTCTTCTCCCCTCATGTTCCCAGGAGCCTTCTGAGTCACCAGCGTTTCGGTTTGATTACTAAACCAAGTCCATTCTCTTGAGAATGCTTTTCAACAATAGTTCAGAGATGGCATGAGCCAAAAATCACGTTAAAAGTGACCTCACTTCCTTAACAGCTATTGACTTGTGTCCTCTAAAGAGGGTGAGGGAAGGGGAAGAGGAAAACCTTTATTCAGCTTCTTTCCTCAGATAGACCAGAAACCACCAAGGAAAGCAGCAAATCATCACAGCCCAGGGGTCGGAGCCAGTGGAGGTTTTGATTCTTATTTCTGATATTTACTTGGACTATGGCACATCTCCCCAAACCAGTGCTTCCTCCTCTGTTCGATAGAGATAAAAATAATAGTGATCCGTCCATCACAGTGGTTGTGAGGATTAACTGAGATAACAAATTTAACATACATGGTATACAATACGTGCTCAATAAATGGTGGCTCAAAGGGGAAAAGCAGACCCAGCTACTGCTACTGCCACATCTCAGATCCCCACACTGTGTATATCCCTGGTTTGCTAAATGTCTAATGTGACACGGGAGATGCAAAAGGAGAAATAATTTGGTCTTACGCTGCCTTTCAGGAGACTGGAAACCTTGGGAGGTGAACCCAGTGAGAAGGCAGAGCTCAGAAGAACTGGAATTAGCAGCGCCATGGAGAGAAACTGGATGCCCAGCAGGTCCGTTCTATAAATGCTGGATGCGTTGGTAAGTGCATTATTGTAGGTGGGATTTGAACTGGGTCTTGACTGATGGAAACAAACATGAGTAAAACTGCAAGGGCAAGTGGAAGATGGGCATGTGTGTGGGGCACTGACACTCTCACCGGACTGGAGTGAAGATGAATAGTTGGGAAATAGTGAAAAATAAAGTTTAGATAAACAGTCTTTTTAATGTTATATTTCTGGTGACTTCAACTTCCAGAAGAGGGGTGTATTAGTGTCCTGGGGCTGCTATAACAAATTACTACAAACTGGGTGGCTTAACACAACAGGAATTTATTTTCTCACTGTCGCTCAGGCTGGAGTGCAGTGGCATGATCTCAGCCCACTGCAACCCCCGCCTCCTGGGTTCAAGCGATTCTCGTGCCTTAGCCTTCTGAGTAGCTGGGATTACAGGTTCGCACCACCATGGCTATTTTATTTATTTATTTATTTATTTATTTATTTATTTATTTATTTATTTTTATTTTTAGTGGATATGGGGTTGCACCATGTTGGCCAGGCTAGTCTTGAACTGCTGGCCTCAAGTGATTCACCTGCCTTGGCCTCCCACAGTGCTGGGATTGCAGGCGTGAGCCACTATTCCCAGCCTATTCTCTCACGGTTCTTGAACCTAAAAGACTAAAATTGAGATACTGTCAGAGTTGGTTCCTTCTGAAGTCTCCAGGGGAGAACACTTCCTTGCCTGTTCTGGTTTCTGGTAGACCCAGGAGTGCCTTGGCTGGTGGCTGCCTCACTCCAGTCTCTACGTCTGTGTTCAAATGGCCTTCTTCCCTCTGTGTTGTGTCTTCACATGACATTCTCCCTGTGTGTCTGTGTCCAATTCTTCTTACAGGGACACCCGCCGTATTGGATTTGGGCCCACCCTAATGACCTCATCTTAACTTGATTGCATTTGCAAAGATCCTGTTTCTAAATAAGGTCATTTTCATAGGTACCAGCAGTTAGGATGTCAACATATCTTTTGGGGGAGCACAGCTCAACCCATACCACAGCAGTTTATCCCATAAGCAGTGGGAGTGGTTGAGTATATTTGACAGGAGTTGAATGTGAGTTGGACATCCATGTGGTTGGACACAGGAAATCAAGAGACAGTTCTAGGATAGAGATCGGCTTCCAAGAAGCAATGACAACCGTGAGAAGGAACATGATTGCCTGTATCATTGTACAGAGTGGAGGAAAGAGGGCCAGGAACAGAATTTTGGGACTCCACCTGGGAAATGAGGAACTAGTTATTAAGTGCGTCTGACAGTGGGTCAGGGGCCACTGCTGGTGCTGGTGGTACAGTGGCAAACACAATGGGAAAGGTTCCTGACCTCATGGGGCTCACATGCCAGGGCAGGAGGCAGGGGAACTGGGAAAGAGGGGCCAGGAGGAAGGAAGAACGCCAGGAGATCGGGCTTTTAAAGAGGGGATTAAGGCCAGACACGGTGGCTCACACCTGTAATCCCAGCATTTTGGGAGACTGAAGTGGACGGGTCACCTGAGACCAGGAATTTGAGACCAGCCTGGCCAACATGGCAAAATCCTGTCTCTACCGAAAATACAAAAATTAGCCGGGAGTGGTGGTGCAGTACTATAGTCCCAGGTACCTGGGAGGCTGAAGCATGAGAATCACTTGAACTTGCTCCCCAGTTCAAGTGGAGGTAGAGGCTGCAGTGAGCTGAGAACACGCCACTGGACTCCAGCCTGGGGGACAGAGTGAGACTCTGTCTCAAAAAAAATAAAATAAAATAAAAAGAGGATTAAGTTAAATTGAGAGCCGTAGGGTGAGCCCTAATCCAATATAACTGGTGTCTTTATAAGAAGAGGAAATTGGAACACAAAAAGCGACACCGGGAGGTAGAGCTTGCAGTGAGCCGAGATTGCGCCACTGCACTCCAGCCTGGGTGACAAGCGAGACTCCATCTTAAAAAAAAAAAGCGACACCAGGGGCACCCATGCACAGAGAAAAGACCACGTGAGGACACTGAGCAAGAAGGTGGCCGCCTGCAAGCCAAGGAGAGAGGCCTTGGAGGAGCCAGCCGTGCCAACACCTTGATCTTTGACTTCAGCCACTAGAGCTGTGAAACAATACATTTTGTTGTTAAAGCCACCCAGTCGGTGGCATTCTGTTAAGGCAGCCCAAGCAGTCTACAACATTGGAACACAGCCCCATCTGGTCAAATACTATGGCTGCTTTTGAACCAGTGGCAGAGTGTGAGAATTTGCAAGAGAGTCCACCCGCCTAGCAAAGCCTAAAGAAAAAAACTTTTCTGACCACCACTCTGAAGCATCCCAGAGCTATTCTATGAATAAATAGTAGTTGTAGGAAGGTAATATAAGTGTATTTTATTTTATTTTCTATTTTTATTTTTATTTTGAGATGGAGTCTCACTCTGTCGCCCAGGCTGGAGTGCAGTATTGCAATCTTGGCTCACTGCAGCCTCTGCCTCCTGGGTTCACGCCATTCTCCTGCCTCAGCCTCCTGAGTAGCTGGGAATACAGGCATGCATTGCCATACCCAGCTAACTTGTAATTTTAGTAAAGACAGGGTTTCACCATGTTGGCCAGGATGGTCTTGATCTCCTGACCTTGTGATTTGCCCATCTCGGCCTCCCAAAGTGCTGGGGTTACAGGCGTGAGCCACCGCACCCGGCCAAGTATATTTTATTTTTATGCTTCCATCTCCCAAGTTAGAGGCCAATCTTTGGAGAGTGAGGACCACATAATTTACAGCAAAATGCTGTTTTCTGAGCACCTGCTGTATGCCAAGAATTGTATATGCACCTGCTCTCAATTGATCCTTATGACAACTTTGTGAAGTGGATAATTTCTATCCACACTTTCCAGATTAAGGAAACAAGACTGCTGCATGAAATGAAATTATTTCTCAGGTCACAGAGCCTGTAAAGGTCAAGGCAGAGAAAGTGACCAGCTCTAGCTTCAAAGTCCTTGCTCTTGTCATCATGCCATGCTACTTGCAATTTAGGTATTTTTTGTATTTGTGTCTCTTGCAATTTTTAGTACCTCACCACTAATAGATATTCAGATAATCTTTCTTTTTATCATGAGAACACTTAAGATCTACTCCCTTAGCAAGTTTCAAGTATGCAGTATATTATGATTAACCATAGCTATGAGTTCATTAGATGTCTATGACTTACTCATATTATAACTGAAATTTTATACCCCTTGACCAATATCTCCCCATTTTCCCTACCCCTGAGCCCCTGGCAACTACTATTCTAATCTGTTCCTCTAAGTTCAACTGTTTTTTAAATTCTGCATATAAGTAGGATCATGCAATGTTCATTTTTCTGTGTCTGGCTTATTCCATCTAGCATAATATTCTCCAGGTTCATCCACATGATCACAAATGGCAGGATTTCCTTCTTTTTATGGCTGAATAATATTCTATTATAGATATAAATGTCACATTTTCCTTATTCATTCATTCATGTCACAAGTGTCCTTATTCAGCTGATGGACACTTAGGTTATTTCCCTGTCTTAGCTATTGTGAATAATGCTGCAATAACCATGGGAGAACAGACATCTCTTTGAGATTCTGATTTTATCTGCTTTGGATATGCAGACAGTAATGGGATGGCTGGATCTTATGGTCATTCTATTTTTAATTTTTTGAGGAACGTCTATACTGTTTTGCATAATGGCTGTACCAATTTGCATTCCCACCAACAGTACACAAGGGTTACCTTTTCTCCACATCTTCAGGGAGTATTTCTTGAATAAATCTCTAGCTTGGTCCTTCTCCCAATATGGTAACCTTTCTGTGGACAAATAGACTGTAAGCATCAACTACAGACCAAGCTTTGTTCTAGGCTCTAGAGATACAGCAAACACACAACATTCCTGCTCTTGCAGAGTTTACTAGTCGAGAAGTGGTTTTATATCTTTCAACAGCTTTAGACCAACTGTACAGCTTGCCCTGGCCTGATCCTGCGCTCTCATGGTGGCAGAGGCTCAGCTGAATGGCAGCCAGCTCAGTGCCTCAGGAGCTGCACCTGAAGACCAGTCATTTCCAGAAGCTCTTTTTATATCACCTGGAAAGTTCCTCCAGGTCTACTCACCCTCTGTCATTCCCTCCCTTTCATTGCTGTACAGCAGGGCGGCTTCATTCCCTCGCATTTCTCTCTCTTGCACAGATACCGTATCTATCTGAATGGCACTGAAATCCACACGCTACAAAACTGAGCCTTTGGTGGAAAATGTCAGCGCCAATAGTCCTTAGGAAAAACAAAAAGTCCCAAACCTAACCAAATCTGATTTTTTAAAATTATTTTATTTTTATTTATTCATTTTCAAAAAACCTTTTAGGTTCAGGGGTACATGTGCAGGTTTGTTATATAGGTAAACTCATGTCATGGAGGTTGTGTTTGTTGCAGAGATTATTTCACCACCCAGGTACTAAGCCTAGTAACCAGTAGATATTTTTCTGCTCCTCTCCTTCCTCCTGGCCTCCACCCTCAAGTAGGACCCAGTGTCTGTTCTTTTCGTTGTGTCCACAAGTTCTCATCATTTAACTCCCACTTATGAGTGAGAACATGTGCTATTTGGTTTTCTGTTCCTGCGTTAGTTTGCTAAGGTTAATAACCTCCAGCTCCATCCATGTTGCTGCAAATCTGGTTTTTCAAAGCAAAGATTTCCTTATTAAAAGTTTAAATAAAAAGAGAGAGCAAGAAAAGTTTTGGGCTTCCTAAAACTTCGGTATTTTCTCTGACATCAAATTAGACATTTTGGCCCAACTGAACGCCTAGGCTTGGTCTGGGATGTGGGGGCCGATGACAACATCTTGTGGCTTGCTGCCATTCAGCAATGGAGTGTTACACTCAGCTGTGAAACTTGTCACTGGAAAGTATCTGACCTTTAGCAGGTAAGCCCAAATTGCTTCACATCTCACCTCCACTAGACTAATAGCACTTCTGAGCACAGCTTGCGTTATCACTTGACATCCCTGAAATCCATTTCTAAGGTAAAATGGAAGTCTAATTGGAAAAATCAATTTTTAATGAAAGAAGTCTTCAAAAAAGAAAAAAAAAACAGTTGTCAGATTTTACTATGCCATCCCCATTCACCTGTTAACACTGGGGCTAAGCCACTTCAATGAAATAAAAAATGTATATGGCTTCTCTATTTTGAGTTCTCTAGAGATAATTGAATAAAGAATTGTGGAAGGAGTAAAAAAAGGGCTCTGCTATATACTTGTGATTTCTTTTGACCTCTACTTTTTTAACCTATAAAGTTGAGGCATTAAGCTAGATAATAAATAAGCTCTCTAAAAACTCAATAATTTCTGTATTAACCCCAAACTGAAGGAAGCCCCCTCCCCCCAACCTTTTTTTTTTTTTTTGAGATACGGTCTTACTCTGTCACTGAGGCTGGAGTGCAATGATGCAATCACAGCTCACTGCAGCCTCAAACACCTGGGCTCAAGTGATACCCCTGCCTCAGTCTCCCATGTAGTTAAGACTACAGGCTGTGGGCCCCAGTGCCAGACAGGATATATGTTTATATCTCTAGGTACTTCAGTGCTGATAATTTATATACTTTCAAAATTGGATTCTGCCCCACAGGCCTTCTGACAGCTGTCGTAGTACCAATAAGTCCTGCCAAGTTATCTTCAGCCTGGGAAAGTTACCCAGTGAGCAGAGGCCCCCAAACTAGACTTTTGGTGGAAGAATACCAAGGCTCGGAGTCTAGGTAGGATTATGCCATTAGGGTATAGTTAGACCCTTTTTCATGTTTTGCAAAGTGATGGGGAGACTAAGCTCTTTAAAGTCCCCTTAACTTCTGCCCTTATCACCAACAATCTGTGACCCTACAGTCCTAAGGGTTTTGTGGACCAACTGAATCCCCAGTAAGCCTCCCTGAGGTCAGTCAGCTTAGTGGTTGCATGGCATTGGTAATGGTGGAGAGGCGCGGGAAAATATTTTGCTGCTTGATGGTTTAAAAGGATGAACAAACAAGACACTCAACAACTGCCAAACCAAAATATCATCACACATCCCTAAAGTTTTGATCCATAACTAAAATTAAAATGATGCGTGCTTTTTCTCTTTTGCAGAGCAGTCTTATGGAAGTCAGTGGAATCGAGTCAAACCATTCCCTGGGCACCAGCAATGGTCCCCAGCACATACAGCAGACAGTCTGAAAACATTCCCACTTGTATCTCCTGATTAGCATAGCATTTACCCAAAAGATAGAAAAAGCTAAGCGAAGTGGCATTTATGAAATATGTGCTGCACCATCTTTCAAAATAGCCTCAAAAGATTTTGAAGATGAAATGAGTTTTTCTTACGTAAATCTGCATTTCAGCTCTGGCTCTTATTAAAAACAACAAAACAAAATGACACGAACAACAACTGGGAGCTTTGGAGGAGACCCATAAAAACGATTTGCATTTACTGAGTAAATAAAGACTAGACAGTTCAAAATTCTCTGTAGGGATAATTGAGAAAGAGACTCAAAGAAATTAGATATGAAAAAGAATTGTTTGATTACATCTCTCCAGGGAATGCATTTCTTGGGTTCTTTCCTTCTGGATTAAAAGGTCAAATGACAATAACACTAATAATACATTCTATAGCTCAACGCCTTCTTTGAAGCTTTCTAATAGCCCCGTGAGCTGTGGAGTCATGTAGTGTTCATGTTGAATGTGGCTCCTATTGCTATTATGACTTCCTCAGAGCCACCAGATATATCTGATGGGGAAACTCAAGATGTAGACTATGACACTTCACTGAGTAGAGAGAGTGTAGTCCCATGATTTGTCCAGAAAGCAGGTTCTCTTACTCTGGCCCAAGAGGAGGCTTGAAGGGAAAATCACATTTTTGAGGGGAAGGTGGGGAGGGAAATAGCAAAGTCATTTTGCATTTTGGAAATTACGTAGTTGAATGGAATAAATTATAATTATATATATTATCTACTATAAAATTGTATATTATATATGTATGATATCTATCTATCTATCCATCTGTCTATCTTTTTTTAGATAGATAGAGTCTTGCTGTGTCGCTCGGGCTAGAGTGCGGTGGTGTGATCTCGGCTTGCTGCAATCTCCGCCTCCTGGGTTCAAATGATTGTCATGCCTCAGCCTCCCGAGTAGCTGGGATTACAGGCATGTGCCACAATACTCGGCTAACTTATTTTGTATTTTTAGTAGAGACGGGGTTTCCCTATGTTGGCCAGGCTGGTCTTGAACTCCTGGCCTCAAGTGATCCACCCACCTTGGCCTCCCAAAGTGCTGGGATTACAAGTGTGAGCCATTGTGCTTATCCTATCTGTCTTTTATCTGAATCCCTTATTCTATGGGTTATCCTTCCCAGCATTGATGTGAGTGATCTCCTTGGAGAGGATTGGAAGATCAAGGAAGAAATTATGCCAAGGAACAGATCTGCTAGCTCTCCAATTTTTAGACCACAGGCATCAGCCATCACTTCTTTTATTAACCTAATTCCTTGTAGGATTCAGATGGGGTATTTCCCACATGGTCCCAGCTCTGTGACATGTCACTAGTTTGTGAGGTTATGCTGCAGGGATCCCAGGACAAAGACCCATTTCCAATGGCAAATGTGACAAATGGAGGTTTTTAGTGGCAAAACATAGGTACGGGCAAGAAAAAGGCTGGCTGTAGATGAACGCCTCTGAAAAGGCTATGAAGGAAGTTATCCACTTTAAATACGTGAGTGTAAAAAAAATCAACCAAACAAAACAGAACGGGAGCATTTAGATAATTCACTCTCCTAATCTCATGGTAAATAAATAGTGTTAAACCATGTCTATTGCCACAGGAGTTCTGGTTTTACTTATTTTACAGCCTGCCTTTCCCCCTCTGGGTAGTACCAGGAGGAAATAAAATCCACTTTCTTTTTCACTCTTCCACTATGGCGGCTTTGTCTCTCTTGGGTATTTGGGCTTCTGTGTATTTGCAAGGCTTATTTTTCAATAGAGCGGGCAGGGTTTACAAAGTCGAGGAATTTCCATCTCCAGCGCTGTTAAATCACGGCTGAAATGGCTAGATCATTTGTTTGTTGTAAAAGGGGGAAAAACACATTGGTTATTACAGAAGTGGCTGTTTCCAGCCCATCTGAACAGGAAGACTGCAGCCTCTGGCAATGACTGAATTCAGGGGACTCAGGACATCTTGGTGTCATTTAATTATCTCAAGACCCAAGCCCCTTATTCTGCTACATTCTGTGCTTCTCCACGTGGGGACTTCCTCTGGGTCTTGGCTAACGCACAGGAATTTGATGTTTAGAAAGTCACTTTCCTGTCCTTATAAACAGTCCCACCATAATAACCTGGCTTCTGGCACCAGAAATTCATTTAAATTTCGCTCAGCTTGCTTTACAATTAAGATTTAATTAGTAAACTCATTACAAAGGCAGGAAATCTCTGACTTTCCCCTAATTCTCTTTTAGGCCTCAGCCATGACCCAGCCTGTCCCTCTGTCTTTTAGACATTTGCAGAAAGTTTTCTCTAAACATTGTTATTTATGTCACTGTAAGTCCAAGATAAAATATTGTTCTTCGCTTTTGAAAATAGATGGAAGTAACCTAGTCACTTAGCATTTAGGGTTTCGAGTTCTTTATTTAGAAAATATTCCTCGTTCGTATTTTTAAACTTGCTAGACTGAGAGTTTGTTTGGATCCTCCCAGGTTTTCTCAGACAGTAGAAATAGGGATTAAGGTTGGGGGTGGGGGAAGGAATACCAACGGGACAAGGAGCTTAGCTAGGAGTATAATTACCCCATGGTATCACCCCCAAAATGACACAGGACACTGGGCTATTTTACTGTTACGCCTGAACCAAGAACACAGGAAAGGCAGAACTCTGTCTCTGCAAACCAAGGCAAAAAATTCATATTTTGCTAATGAAGAAAAGCAGAAAAGCATCTGCCAGAAAGCTCAGAAAAATGGGGGTGTGGCTGTGAAATAAATGCACGCTCAGTTGAGACAGAGCTTTGCAATGTGAGAAGCCCAGGACTAAAACGTTTTAGCTGATAGATAGATAGATAGATAGATAGATAGATAGATAGATAGATAGATAGATATACATAGATATATATATGATATATACATATATATATGACAAAAGCTAGATAAATAAATTCATGCTGAGAAAATGAAGTCCCTGAAGGAAAATGATAGAAATTTTTAAATCAGAGCTTAAGTGTTATTGATATACTTGATGCAATAAGACATTAAAACATTTACTTTTACCCCACAAAATGGCAAGCATAGGACTTTTAAAAGAAAAATTTCCTTTTCCTTTCAAATGTCTTCTTGGTTATTTTAGCTTGCCACCTGCAAAAAGCTGAAGCCCTTCATGTGATCTTTGGTCCTGAAGGCAAGTTTTACATGGTTAGATGACTGATTCCTTTTTACAAAGTCAGTTCTTAAAAATTTACTCATTAGCAGTAACTGTAAGTTGTCTCTGATTTTAAAGATCTATTTGAAGAATTAAATATTTTTAAATGAATTTAATTGTTATGAGGGGGGCTTATTTTCTAGTGATTTCTATGATCTTGCTATATTTTTGGACTAACAAGGGAAGAAAATATGGATCAGAAAGGCTAAGCAACTTTCCTAAGGTCACACAGCAAACTTGTAGGCAAGGCAGAACTAAGCTTTGTTTGTTTGTTTGTTTGTTTCAATTCTGTGCAGAGCTCTGGGCAAACTCAAAGGGAGAAGTTATTAGTAGCTGTAAAAATCAAGCCCTGACAGTGGGTGTTTCTCTTGGACAGTCTCTGTATTTGATGTTCTGACAGCTTTTATGAGGCTTTGGAATGTGTCAATAGATAACACTGTGACCCCGAGGAGGGAGCAAACCAAACCCTTTCCTCTGGGAGTTCTCCTCCACTGTGCTGCTGAAAATTTGCAGGCACAAGAGGAAATTCAAAATTTACTTTCAAAATGGTTCAGAAGAGCTTGAGAGAACACGAGGCTCCAAAGGGAACTGCTCAAATTCAGAAGAGTGGAAAAGTCAGATAACTGAACTGCACAGTTTCCAATCACCTGGAAGCTAAAAATAAAGGCCTCCTCTCCCTGTCTCCTCGGCCCCGGGTTCAGAAGAGTCAGGAATCAATGTAGGAACACAGGACTTTTGCCCTGGTGAGATTTCAGTTGTCCCTGGAGATGCTGTGCGAGGGACCCGATGTCCTCAGGAGCGTCAAGGGAGTGCCTTGATCAGGCAGGGGACTGTAGGCTGGGCGTGGTGATTCATGCCTGTAATCCCAGCACTTTGGAAGGCCTAGGTGGGCAGATCACTTCAGGTCAGGAGTTCGAGATCAGCTTGGGCAACATGGTGAAACTCCGTCTCCACTACAAATACAAAAATTAGCCAGGTGTGATGGTGCATGCCTGTGGTCCCAGCTACTCAAGAGGCTGAGGCAGGAGAATCACTTCAACCTGGGAGGCAGAGGCTGCAGTGAATTGAGATCATACCACAGCACTCCAGCCTGTGCAACAAAGTGAGACTGTCACTGCACCCACCCCTCCTCAAAAAAGAGAAGGTTGCTGTGCAGATGGCTAGGGCAGTCCCTCAGGAAAAGGAGGCAGAGAACCTGGAAAGGAGGGCAGGGACTAGGAGGATGCAGCAAGGAGTTCTAAAATAACAGTAATAATAATAATAAAAAGCAGAAATAATGAGGGCACACAGGAATCTACAACTCCCAGGAAAGCTTCAGCCCCGAGAAAGGTATAACTGCTCTCCAGCGATGACTGTTTTCAATTGAGGTTTCATTTAATGGAAGCTCAACCATTAGAAACCACAGCAGATGTCCCTCCAAGCTGCCTGAAGTGCAGCAGCAGTAAACAGAAGGAGAGCTGAGCCAGAGTTTCCTAATTTCTCTAAATAAGGAATTCTACTTGGGAAGGTACATGCAAAAAAATTTTTTGCTGGAGAGGGCATCCTTAGCAGTTGTTGTCAGAGTCATAATAACCAAATTCACTGTATGAACCTTGACTAAATCCTGTCTGGAAAATAACAGCCATATATATATATAAAATATATACATATATAAAATATAAGTATTTTATATATATATAAAATATAAGTATTTTATATATATATAAAATATAAGTATTTTATATATATATAAATATTTTATATATAAAATATAAATATTATATATATAATATAAATATTTTATATATAAAATATAAATATTATATATATAAAATATAAATATTATATATATATAAAATATAATGTATATAATATATAAATCTAATGTATAAACATATATTTATATATAAATATTAAATTAATATATAACTATATACATAATTATATATGTATATTTTATGTATAATTATATATTATGATATTTATAATAATTTATAATAATTATATATTTAATATTAATGAAATATATTTATATATTTATATATTAAATATATTATATAATAAATTTATAGATATATAAAATTCTGGTACCTTCAGAGACATTTAAATATGGAGTATATATTTTAATAGATTATATTATGGAATTATAAATTTTCCTGGGTATCATTATAGTATTGTGGTTAAGTAGAAGATTATCTTTATTCTTAGCCAATGCATGCTAAAATTAGGTTGAAGTACAATGATGTCTGAAACTTAGAAAGAAGTGTGTGTGTGTACACATACACATATATAAATATATGTTTATGTATGTGTGTATACGCACACACCTATTTAAGCATTTGCCATGCAGACGATGGTTGAAAGAATAATGAAATCACTAGGTTTCTATATAGAAAATTAGTTAATTCCTTCGTTATTTGACATTACTAATAGATTAAACAAGAATAGCAAACACTTACACTATATGCTATAAGCGTATTGCTATATACTGGCCCTCCGTTAAGAGCTTAGTATGTGTGAGTATAATATACATTCTTTTTGTTTTGTTTTGTTTTGCTTTTAGAGATGGGGTCTTGCTATGTTGCCCAGGCTGGTCTTGAACTCCTGGCCTCAAGTGATCCTCCTGCCTCGGCCTCCCAAAATGTTGGGATTACAGGTGTGAGTTGCTGTGCCCGGCCCTGATACACATTCTTTCTCTAAGCCATAGACAGGTAAGCTACCCAATGTCCTACAACGCCCACACTCTTGGAGGAGTTGGGATTCAAAATCCCAAAGATCTGATGTCTGAGTTTTGCTTTTACCTTCTATATCATACTTCTCTATCCTTACACATACAGGCAACTAAAGAGCAAATGTTATGTTTATTGGATCAAATTCTAGAATTTACCTTAGTCGGAAGTCCCAATTTAGAACCAGGGAGGGGACCTGTGTTCAGAAGTGATTGAGTAGAAAGGAAGTGGGACATACACTTAGAGCAGAGTGTGGTTCCTTCAGGTGGATGGTTTCAGCACCTTCCAGCCAAAGCTGGGAAGAGTCAAACTAACATCACCCTTAGAAAAAAAAAAGACAGAATAGATCTCCAAAGACCTGAACTAGGATTAAAAGTGTTTTGTCAAAACTTGCATTTCAAATCAAGTCAGTGTGCATCATTTTTGCAATATTCTTTGTGTGTGTGTGAAGAGAGAAAGAGAGATTGAGAGAAGAGTGATGGCTAAACTGGAAAAATGCAAGTTCATTAAAAAAAATTCTATTAACTGCTTAAAAATCTGCCTGGAGTCCCAGGAGACAATCCTTCACTTTTCTCTTAGAACATGCCCAGTCCATGGTTTATGTAAGCTGGAAGAGCTTTGTCTCTGGGTTCTGTCTGGATTTGTACATCATTGTATTGACTTCCTTTGTTTTGCATGTCCAAACATACAAACCCCTCAACTCTTGACCTTTTTCTTTCTTTTCTTTCCTCTTTATGTTTTGAGTAGAGTAGAGATGTAGGAAGCTTTGCCACGCTTTTTGTTTTGTTTGAACCCCAGAGTTAGGAGCTACTCAAACACTGAGACTCATAGAAGAACATAAAATTCTAGGATTTTAGCCAGGAGCAAAATTTTGGAAAAGTCCTTCCTTCATCTGCTGAGATTCCACTTCACTGAGCATCCTGGAAGTGTGGGCTCCTTGTAGGACTGGCTTCAATGTGTAAGCTCTTCAACATCTAGCTTGAGGCCATGCACAAGGTGAGTTCTCTGCACACGTATCACCTGAACTGTGGTAGTCAAATAGAACACCCAAATAAAAACTACTTGATTCATCTTACACGTTGACCCAACATGAACAATTAATACTTCTGTAGAGCTTTGAAGTTCGATATCTGCTTGGATGCACAAAACAATTCAATGAGGTAGCTATATGTATTAGTCCATCCTCACACTGCTATCAGGAACCATCTGAGATTGGGTAACTCATGAAGAAAAGAATTTTAATTGACTCAGTTCCAAAGCTTAACCAGAAGCATGGCTGGGAAGCCTCAGGAAACTTACAATCATGGCAGAAGGTGAAGGGGGAGCAAGCACATCTTACTATGGTGGAGCAGGAGAGAGAGAGTGAGGGGGGAAGAGTCACATGCTTCTAAACAACCAGATCTCGTGAGAACTCACTCATCATCATGAGAACAGCAAGGTGGAAATCCACCCCATGATCAAATCACCTCCCACCAGGTCCTTCCCTGAAACTGGTAATTACAATTTGACATGAGATTTGAGTGGGGACACAGAGCCAAACCATATTGCTATAAATATTCCTTTTTACAGATTATGATTCTGTTTTATTTCCACAGGTTTGGGAAGGGCATATGAGACTTTATAGCAGTTAAGCTACCCATAAGTTTCTATTACCTATTTAACTAGAATAGTATCAGTGGTTTTGTCAATCCGTTAGTCCAGCACATATTTATTTAATGTTCTTTATTAATGTGACATAAAGTACTATGGAGGATCAAAAAGTAAAAAATAAACAGTCCCTGCCTCCAAGGAGCTTATGGTATAGTTAGAAAATAAAGGCAACACATCTAGTCTTCAAAAGATGATGAATAAAATAAAACATATAAGGCAAGTGACAAATAAATGCTATATATTTAACAAATCTTTTCAGTATTTACTACATTCCAGGCATTATTCCAAGGGCTAGGAATTCAAGAGTGAACAAAAGAGACAAAAATCCTGCTTGCTTAGCACTGGTGTTCTAGATGGGAAGAAAGACAATAAACAAATAAGTTGTCTAGCCACGGTGGCTTGTGCCTGTAATCTGAGTACTTTGGGAGGCTGAGATGAGCTGATCACCTGAGGTCAGGCGCTCAAGACCAGCCTGGCCAACAGGGTGAAACCCTATCTCTACTAAAAATATAAAAATTAGCTGGGTATGGTGGCACCCACCTGTAGTCCCAGCTACTTGGGAGGCTGAAGCAGGAGAATTGCTTGAACCCGGGAGGCAGAGGTTGCAGTGAGCCGAGATCGTGCCACTGCACTCCAGTCTGGGCAAAAGAGTAAGACTCTGTCAAAAACAAACAAACAAAAAGACAATTAACAAATAAGTAAACATATATTATTGAAAAGCACAACTAAAGAAATTAACAAAGCAGGAGAGGATAGTAGCTGCTGAGGTTTGCAGTGGTTAAAAATTTAATTAGGATTTCTTAGACAAGCCTCATTTAACAGTCATTTGAGTAAAGACCCAAAGGAAGTGAGGAGTGAGTTACACAGCAGCCAAGCGAAGAGCATTTCAGGCAGAGGAACAGTCAGTGCAGTGGCCACAGAGAGAGCTCTTCAGATGAACTGAAGAGGAAGACAGAGGCCGATGTAGCTGGGGTGGGTGAGGGAGGGAATAAGAAGAGAAGAAATCAGAGGAACAGCTGGAAACCAGATCCTGTAGGGCCTTGATTATGGCAAGGACTCTGGGCTTTACTCTGAGTGACATGGGGAGTCCCTAGATGCCTCTAAGCGGGGAAGTAACATAACATGACTGAGAAAGGGGCAAGGATAGAGCAGGGGAACCATCGGAAAATGACTGTCTAATAATCCAGGCCAAAACCACGGTGGCTTGCAGCAGGGTGGGAACATGGAGGCGGTGAGAGGTGGCCAGGCCGGACTTGGAGGGATTAGAAGCAGGTGGAAGAGAAAGGGAGGAGGCAATGTGCATGACAAGTTTGGGGTCTGAGTAATTGTAAGAGTGGGGCTGCAGAAGGCAAGACTGTCAAAGAAACAGGTTTCAGGGGATGATGTCCAGAGCTCAGTTCTGAACATGTTAAGTTTGAAAAGCCTATTCAAAGGCCAGTCCTGGTGGTTCACACCTATATTCCCAGCACTTTGGGAGGCTGAGGCAGGAGAATTGCTTGAGGTGAGGAGTTTGAGACCAGCCTAAGCAACATAGTGAGACTCCCATCTCTACAAAAAAAATACAGATATTAGCTGGGTGTGGTAACACGCACCTCTAGTCCCAGCTACTCAGGAGGCTGATGATGGAGGATCACTTGAGCCTGGGCAACAGAGCGAGACCCTGTCAAAAAAAACAAAACAAAACAAAACAAAAACCACAAGAAACAAAAAATCAGGCTATTCGACCTATGAGTGGGAATATCAACCGGGAAGTTGGATGTGTGAGTCTGGATTCAGAGGAGAGGTCTGGACTGGAGTTATAAAGTTGTAAGGACCAGAATATAGATTTCATTTAAAGTCATACAACTTAAGTTAAATTCACATGGGGAATGGATATAAATAGACAAGAGGAAAAGTCCAAGGACTGAGCCCTGAGGTCCTCCACTATTTAGAGGTTAGGAAAATGGGGTGGGGGACAAAGGAGCTTGAGAAACAAGGGAGAAGCACACATCAGTGGCTGCTAAGTGAAGAAAACTGGTTCCAGAGGAGAGTGATCAACTGTGCCAAATGCTACTGATAAGTCAAAAAGAATGAGGACTGAAGATTGGTGATAGGATTAGCAAAATGGAAGTCATTGGTGACTTTGATAAAGTAATCTCAGTGGAGAGTGATGAGGTGAAGATGGACCTGAAGTGCTTCAAGAGGAAAATGATAGAGGGAAATCGTAGACAGCAAGCACAGAATTCCAAGGAGTTTTTTTTCACAAAGGGAAAAATAAAAATGGGGAGAGGGCTGGAGGTAGAAGTTGGGTCAGAAGCACTTTTATGTTGTTGCTATTGTCTTTCTTTATGAAGGCAAGAGAGATAGTATGTTTGAATACTGATTTAATTATGCAGGGAATTTTTTTTTTTTTTTTTTGAGACGGAGTCTCAATCTGTTGCCCAGGCTGGAGTGCAGTGGTGTGATCTCGGCTCACTGCAACCTCCACCTCCCAGGTTCAACCGATTCTCCTGCCTCAGCCTCCTGAGTAGCTGGGACTATAGGTGTGTGCCACCACACCTGGCTAATTTTTTAAATATTTTTAGTAGAGACAGGGTTTCCCCATGTTGGCCAGGCTGGTCTCGAACTCCTGGCCTCAAGCCACCTGCCTGCCACAGCTTCCCGAAATGCTGGGATTATAGCCGTGAGCCACCATGCCTGGCCTATGCAGGGAATTTTAATGATGCAAGGAAAAGAGGGGCGATCTGATGCAGCAACATTCTTGAGCAGTGAGAGGCTGGAATCTACTGCCCAGGTGGAGGGTTTTCTTTGTTAGGAGGATGGAGGGTTCAGCTCTCGCCACAGCGGAGAAGGTGGATTTGAGAGGAGTTAGGTGCCCATCTCGATAGATACACAGGACAAGAGGCTGTGCCAGGGGCAGCATTAGGTCGCATCCAATATTATTCATCATTGATTTTAAATCAATGAGAGAACAGTTCGTTTAACTGTGTGCCTTTCTCTAGCTGTACTGGAATGCCTGGGTGCAGTGGTGAGAGAGCTGGGTCTCACTAGGGCTGGGATTTTGCCAGGTGAGCCAGAGGTGAGGGAGTTGAGGCGTATGGAAGGGAGTGATTTTAGTGAGTGTCTATAGAATTAAAATGGGTAAGGAAGGTAATTAGAATGAGAAGGGGATACACGAAATAAATAAATAGGGATAAACAGAGTCAACAACATGGAGGTTCCCGTGAGATTCAAAGTGGCTTTTTTTTTTTCCTTTTTTTGAGTTTCGCTCTTGTTGCCCAGGCTGGAGGGCAATGGCGCGATCTCGGCTCACTGCAACCTCTGCCTCCAGAGTTCAAGTGATTCTCCTGCCTCAGCCTCCTGAGTAGCTGAGATTACAGGCGTGTGCCATCACACCTGGCTAATTTTGGATTTGTAGTAGAGACGGGGTTTCTCCGTGTTGGTCAGGCTGGTCTCGAACTCCCGACCTCAGGTGATCCGCCAGCCTCGGCCTCCCAAAGTGCTGGGATTACAGGTGTGAGCCATCGCACTTGGCCTTTTTTTTTTTTTTTTTTTTTTTTTTTGAGACAGGGCCTCACTTTGTCACCCAGGCTAGAGTGCAGTGGCATGATCTTGGCTCACTGCAGCCTTGACTTCCTAGCCTCAAGATATTCTTCCACTTCGGTCCCCCAAGCAGCTGGGACAACAGGTGCAGGTCACCTTGCCTGGCTAAATTTTTGTATTTTTTGTAGAGATGGAGTTTCTCTGTATTGCTCAGGTTGGTCTCCAACTCCTGAGCTCAAGCAAGGAGCCCATCCACCTAGGCCTCCCTAAGTGCTAGTATTACAGGCATGAGCCACCATGCCCAGCCTGAGTTATTAGAAGGGGCAGATTGGAAAGAAAGAGAGTGGTGGCTAAAGAATTGGGCATTTGCAATGAAAATACTGGTGAAGGGATTTCAGTTATTGGTTATGATGTGATTAAGGGAGTGCCTGTGGTTAAGGGGTGAGAGCACTAGCTGCCTGGCATAGAGGGTGTCACGGAACTGAGAGTGGATATTGAAATCATGAAGAATTATAATGGGAGTTTGTTGGAGAGAGTGGCTTTTGACTAGAAGGGAAACTCTTTAAGGAATTAAGGGATAATTGGGGAGAGGGAGCAGGATTGAGTATTGTTTGCAACAAAGAGGGGTAATTGGTGGTAAGGTTCAATGATATAGGATTCGAAGCTTGGATTTTTAGGCAGGAGGGCAGGAGAATAGCCTAGAAACAACATTGAAGAGGGGAGGGAGATGTGGCCCACCGCATCTCCCAGCCCAGGGCTAGAAAGAAGTGAGTTGGCTGCAGCTTCAGCAAGATGTCCAGGAGAACCAGGTTCCCACTGGAGCAGGAGCTTGGGGATATGAGGGAGTTTCCAGATAGTTGAGTGTGAATCCCAGAAGGCACAGGGAAAGGGTTTCAAAGGATGGGGAGGGGGCTGGGCGCGGTGGCTCATGCCTGTAGTCCCAGTACTTTGGGAGTCCGAGGCGGGTGGATCACGAGGTCAGAAGATTGAGACCATCCTGGCCAACATGGTGAAACTTCGTCTCTACTAAAAATACAAAAATTAGCTGGGTAAGGTGGCATATGCCTATAGTCCCAGCTACTCGAGAGGCTGAGGCAGGAGAATTGCTTGACCCCGGGAAGTGGAGGTTGCAGTGAGCCGAGATCATGCCACTGCACTCCAGCCTGAGTGACAAAGCGAGACTCTGTCTCAAAAAAATAATAATAATAATAAATAAATAAATAAATAAAAATAAATAAATAAAAATAAAAATGGGAGGGGAGGGGAAAGGAAATGGATGGGCTTAGAGAAGGCCATGCGGCCATGCATGAGTGGAATGGGAATTAGAGTCTAGGAATAAGGGAGAGCTTGGCAGTGCTGAACTTCCAACATGACCTGGGGTCAAGGGTGTGGTAAGGATAGCCTTGGTGGTCCCAAGTCAGATAGGGAAGACATGTGGGTGTGGAGGTCAGGGAGAGTGAAGGGAGAGTTTCCAGGAGCATGGAGCCATCTGAGGCTCCCCTTGATTCCTTCAGATGGGAGACCTGGAATCCTGAAGATAGTCTTGGCCTTAGGTTGAGAGCTCTCTCTTGGCTCCTGCCAACAGTGGCCTGCCTCGGGATTCTGTTACTCTCATCTTCTGGGCAAATGCTTGCACTTTCATGGTAGAGGCATCCATAAGCCTGCCATAGGTCAATCATCCCTTCAAATTTGAGCCTGCACCAGGCTCCAAGGTGCAACTGGGTACTGGATGTACTAAGACAAAGAAGGTTAGCTGGTTCCTGGCCAGTTCCCACCATTAGTATCACAAATGGCTGCAGACGAGTTTTTCTACCTTTTCATGACAAGCATTGTTTAGATGATTGACCTCTTAATGCAAACTTCCAACCCAGCTCCAATTTTTGAAAGAATTTTATTATCCAATTAAATAGACAACATTTTTTGCTCCATTGAACTCCAGAGCTGAATCATCTGACCTGACAGACTGGAGACTGGGTTAGGATGTGAGGAATCACTTTCCTCCCTTACCTCCTCAATGGTATTGCCCCTAAGGCTTGGCTATAGAGAACCAAGTTCCCAGGGACAAGAGGACCATTCTTTGTTCAAGGATAACTAAGTGGCTGAATCATCACGTAAGCTCTTAAAATCCATTTTCAGGAAGTAATCATTCATTTCCTCATTTTTATTATTCAAAGCAAATAAAATGGAATGTGCAATAATGAGTCCAAACAGCGTTTGGCAAACAGCAAATGACAGTAAGAAATAGTAAACTAATTCATTTAATAATATGGTGAATGGCTTTAGTTACATCATGTGTCTTCTTCAAAAGCAACACTAAGTTCTTAGAGGCTCTTTGAACTACTGAAGAGAGCCATCAGACTCCCATTAAGATTTGGGGATTCAAAGACCCCAGCTAGAGGTTCCCTGTGGCATAATTAAAATGTATAAATAAATGCCCCCAGGCTTTCTCCTATTACCAAAGATTATATCCTCAGATTCTTAGCTGCCCTTAAGGGTTTAGGGAACTTGAGATTTAACAAAGATGGAGAGTTATGCATATTTGGGGAATTGGAAGAGAAAGGAACATCATGAGAAAATTAAATAGATAAGGACACGCTTAAGATGATAGGCTACTGCAATAAGAGCTCTGCTAAGGAGATCAACTACTAAAAGCTAAGACATGAACAAAATTCACCCACTTTCTTCTGTTGCTGAGTAAAGCTTTTTTTGTGTAGGCCTGGAAAAACTAACAAAGCAACCAACAGAAAAAAAGCTCAATTTCCCGCAGATTGCCACCAAAATCATAGTTTTTGCTTCCTAGCAACCAGCCGTGAATTTGAATATTTAAGAAGTATGATTGGAGTCTCCAAGATCATCCTGATCAAGTATGGGTGTCTTTGGAATAGCAGTAACCCAAGGAGAATTTCCCAACTTGGATTGGGTATTGGAGTGGGCACTGGATTGGGTATTGGAGCAAACTGTTTACTCTTTTTTAAAAACCATCTTCATTGATAGTTTTAAAAACAGCGCATGTTTAACATACACAGTTTGATGAGTTTGGACATATGCATACACTGAGAATACTATTCCAACAATCAAGTTAATAAACATATCCATCACCTCCAAAAGTTCCTGGTGTTTTGTTTTATTTTATTTTATTTTATTTTATTTTATTTTATTTTATTTTATTTTATTTTGTGGTAGGAATGTTTAATATGAGCACTACTCTCTTTAAAAAAAACTCTTAGCACTGTATTAACTATAGGCTCTGTGTTGTATAGCAGCTCTATAGAACTCATTCATTTCGTATGACTAAAACTTATATCCATTGAATAACTCCCCACTTTCCCCCAGCCTCTGACAACCACCATTCTATTCTGTACTTCTATGAGTTTGACTATTTTAGAGACCTCATGCAAGCAGAATCAGGCTTATTTCACTTAGCATATCTTCCAGGTTCATCCATGTTGTCACAAAAGATAGGAGTTTCTTCTTTTTTGAGACTAGATACTATTCCACTGCATGTACATACCACATGTTCTTTATCCATTCATTTGTTGGTAGACATTTGGGTTGTTTCCACATCTTGGCTATTGTGAAAAATGCTGCAGTAAGCATGGGAGTGCAGATATCTCTTTGAGATGGTGATTTTAATTCCTTTGGATATATACCCAGAATTGAGATTGCTGGATCATATGGTAGTTCTATTTTGAATTTTTTGAGGAACCCTCATACCATTTTCTGTAGCAGCTGCGTCATTTTACATACCCAGCAACAGTGAACAAGCATCCTGATTTCTCCATGTCCTCACCAGTACTTCTTACATTTTGGAGAAACATCTATTCTGAATGTACAATACCTTATTTGAAAAAAGTATTTTGCGTGGTGGCTCACACCTGTAATCCCAGCACTTTGGGAGGCTGAGGCAGGTGGATCATGATATCAGATCAAGACTGTCCTGGCCAACATGGTGAAACCCCATCTCTACTAAAAATACAAAAATTAGCCAGGCATGGCAGTGGGTGCCTTTAGTCCCAGCTACTCAGGAGGCTGAAGCAGGAGAATCACTTGAACTCGGAAGGCGGAGTTTGCAGTGAGCCAAGATTGTGCCACTGCACTCTAGCCTGGACGACAGAGCAAGACTCTGGCTCAAAAATAAATAAATAAATATTATTTTCATTGCAAAAATAACATAAAATAATTTTTTACAAAGTTGGCTTGTCCTGAATAAGTGATTCTCCCCCTTAAAGACATAATCTCAACAGAGCAAAGGAATCTGTATGGGAATCTTAGCAGATGAAAGCATGGGATTTTTATCCTTATAGAAAGAGGGTAGTGTTAAAAAAAAAGAGTTGAATAAAATGGATCTAAGGCATAACAAAGTTGCCCAACAGAATATTTAAGAATCTGTTTTTTAAAAAATAACAGTAGCTTGTCTTGCTTATTAACAAGGTGAAGTAGGAGCAGACCAGTTTGTAGTACGCAGAAAATCACAGTACCTATGTCCAAGCACTTTCTTAAGTAAAATAAGTTATTGCATCTGACATACTTTGTCAGTTTGTCAACAGCTTTGAAGCCACGGAACTCTTCTGAATCATGAGATTTGATCCACAGGCCAGTAGGGAAAAAAATTTTCAAATGAGTAACACATTTCTGCCTTTTCCTTGAATTCTGTATTTTTTGTTGCAGTACTCACCAGTGATTCAAGTGTGTTTAACCTGAAATGAAACTCTTCATTTTTCAAATTGCCTATGCTTGTGTCATAGAAAGTTCTGGAAAGAACTGTACTAGCTTTTCAGTCCACTCATGTTTAGAACAAAGAGAGCATTCTTTGTTTTATCCCCTTGCCTGTTTATTTGTTTTACTTTACATTTGCTTTCAGGAACCAAAAGGGTATGCTTTCAAAAACTGCTTCTGATCAACATTTAAAACATTTTAAATGAAATTCCTGGATTAAATGGAACTCTCTTGACACTGATTACTAGTAACTCTATGAACATGCAGTTTTGATGATACTCTTGGTTAATAATAAGTAAGATTTGTTCCAAGGAGAAATAAATCACCATCTAAAATATTGGGATGGGGGAAATCTACATTTCTTAAAAAGAGTGGCTAATAGAATTATTATTCTACTCTTCTATTATTTTAGGGGCATTTGGCTCCCCTTATGATGTAGGGCTAACCCTCAAGAAAAACAACTCCATGACTAGAGTTTCACAGCAAACAATGACTGCCAACCAGTCTCCTGATGACTTTTGTCTTTCTAAATCTAATCCCGTGATAAACCTCTGGCTTCCTACACTTGACGTGCCCCTCTTTTACTAGTCCCAAATCCATCAGGCACATTGTGGTTGGCTCATTGTGAACAAACACAACTGACAGTTTCCTTCCTCAAGGTAAACAGTACTGGTACTTAGACACAGTTCAAAGGGTTTATCACCCCAATGTGGCTATTCTTTTTTGGAGGACTAGCGAGGCTACCTTTAACTTCTAATTAAACTACTTTATTCTCTCTACTGACATTCCTAATTTTTACTAGTAGTAAAATACTATATAATTAGTCAATCAGTGGCCTGTTTTCACAACGCCCATTTTTTTTCCTGTTTTTGTTTTTCCTCTGCTCACTGCCATAACAATTAATCCCTCATCCTCATTGAATTTTGTTACCAGTTGTGAAGGCAGCATTGCACAGTTAATGGCAGGGGTAGCACCGCCGATGCCATTTTGGTGTTAGATTTCTCTCTGTTTTAACCCTGGATAAATGACTCCTAATCTGGCCAACCTGGTCTTTCTTTGGCCTTTCTTCTGGTCATTTTCATAGTTATCATTATGTTGGTTCACTGGAGGAAAGATGGAGAAATGCAGGGGCCTCCCCCAGTAGAGCGGAACCTGGAGGTGTGTGATGTCATGCCAAGTCCCTGGAAAGCATGAGCTCCCTGAAAACAATGCCCTGCTGGCCAGCAGGATTCCACAACTGCCAAATGAGGACGCCTTCTCAAGCTCCCCAGAAGACAGACCCTTCATATTTCCTATTGTTTCTTCAGGCACTTGCTTCCTTCTGTTTATTCCAGTTTCATAAACCAATGAGTCATGCAACTTACTTCTGAGTCCAAGCAACTTCCCTCCTCAGGTTCATTTTAGAACAAGCCCCATCAGAGATTGGAGTGGTCGCTGGGGAAGGAGTTTTGTTTTGGGTTTTCCCTACAAGCTGGGCATGGTGTTATCATCTCGTAGAGGAGAGTGTCTGAAGGAAAGGCCTCCAAGAGCCTTTTTTGCTTCTTTGATAGCAAACTTCTGAGAACCACTGAAGCGAATCCCCTCCTGGCTTCAGGACACTAAGCTTCAGGTTTGGGGTATCATTAGCTGATCATTAGTTTACATGCTGGGGGGATTTTCCTAACACAACATTCATTATCAAAAATGGCCCATCCCATCCTTTAGGTAAGGGCTGTAAACAGCCAGGAAGGCAGGGTGGGGGTGTTGTTTAGGAAGCTTCCCCCAGAGTGTGTGACTCCCCAATGTCCCCATTCCTGAGAGGCAGTGGGGGTTGAACAAAGACCCTGCAGACAAAGTGACTGGAGGTCCAAGAGGTTGTGCTGCTGGTGCTACACGAGGGAGAGCCAGCTCACACCTGTTGGCTGGGAGATGACCTCTGGCTGTCCTAGAAGCTCGTCTACTTCACTGGTTAAGGAGGGATTCTTCCATGCAGGTGGAAGGAAATGAGAAAATGGACGTTTTATAGGCATTGTAATCTGTAAAAATAGGAGATATATTTCACTTTCAGAACGGCATAGTTTTTCATGGCCAGGTGCAGTGGCTCATGCCTGTAATCCCAGTACTTTGGGAGGCTGAGGCAGGTGGATCTCCTGAGCTCAGGAGTTGGAGACCAGCCTGGGCAACATAGTGAAATCCTATCTCTACCAAAAATGCAAAAAAATTAGCCAGACATGTGCCTGTGGTCCCAGCTACTGGGGAGGCTGGGGTGGGAGGATCACTTGAACCCAGGAGGCAGAGGCTGCAGTGAGCCAAGATCGCACCACTGCACTCCAGCCTGGGTGACAGAGTGAATGAGACCCCGTTAAAAAAAAAAAGGCATAGTTTTTCATTTTTGTTTTTCAAGGGTATAAAAGATTTACCACCCAGGTTTATGTGTAACCACCCATCAATGGTAAGGATAAATGGCTAAAGACCTTGTCTCCTGATGGGATTGAGCTTTGAGCTAGAGTTCAGAAGAGGTGGGAGCAGATAGCTCTGGCCTGGGGGATTCCCATTTTAAGACCCTTCCTTATCCCCATACCACATCCCACCCCACAACCCCTCCAGCAACATAAAAACCTTATTTGGGCAGAGAGATTCTATAAAGAACTTTCTATTCCATATCAGGAAATCTGGGTTTTGGTCCTCTCTCTGTCACCAACTTTGGGGAAACCTTAAACTTCTCTCTGTATGCAGCACTATCTTCCATCTGAGAAGTAGGAAAAAGTCTATCAGGGAACCTTAGATTGTTACTGGAAAGCAGAGAGTGCCATTTAAGCTGGCCCTGAAGGTGGAGTCAATATTAACCAAGGGAAGTGGGTAGGATGAGAGATGAGGACAAGAAGAGGGTGCTCCAGACAGACTCCATGGCACAGGCAAAAGCTCTGAACAGATAGAATTTCTGAGCAGTCAAGGGAGGAAAGGACAGCCATGTGGCCAGAGCTCAGGTGGGCTCTGGGGGTGGGAGACCAGGCAAGAGGGAAGTAGACAAGGGAGACAGAAACCAGAACAGAAGCTGCTTGAAAAGTATTTTAAAGACTAATCTTAACCCAATAACAATGGGAACTCATTGAAGTGTTTTAGCAGGGAACTGGCTAAATGACAACATAGCACAACCCTATTCTCAACTCACTGACATCAAAGAGGTTGACTGAAGCTCAGAGAACTGTGAACTTCATGGACCTAACACAATTTTTTGAATTGAAGAGGTAAACATAATATTGCAAATTTTTCATTTTGCCACAAAAGGGCATTAACTAAAACAAAAAAAAAGTCTATCATCATCAACACCATTATCATCTTTTCATTTTTTTTTTAAAAAAAGACATTTAAACAAAAATGAAACCAAGGAAAGACAATCTCAGCATAATGTATTATTTAAATTTAATTAGTTTGGCTTTGTGAAGAAAAACTACATTGTTGTTTTATCATTATTTAGTCTTGGCCCTGGGCAAACTTTTTCACAACTTGACATTCATTAGTGTACTGGCATTTGAAAATCATTGGTCAAGGTAGTCAATGCTCTGGATGATGACAACAACAGCAACAACAAAATACTAGGCAGATGTAGATGTCTTTATGGGAGAAGAGACATGTGCTGAGGTTGGGGTGGTTAGGGGTGAAGGGAATGAAAGTCCCTGAAAATGCTTGCAAAATAATAGGCTCTCAAGAAATGCCAGTTGCAGGAGGATCGCTTGAACCCGAGTTCGAGACTGCAGTGAGTCGTGATTGTGCCACTGCAATCCTGCTTGGATTGAGACTCTGTCTCAAAATAATAATACTAATAATAAAAATAATAACAAGACATGCCAGTTGAAGCTTAAGTTGAATTTGGTAATAACAGTAATAGCTAATCTTTATATAGTGAACAATTATGCTTCCATTGTTTAATTGATGGCTGCCTAGAGGTAGATAAGACAGGTATTGTTCCCATTTTACAGATGAAAAAGCTATTTGAGAGGTTACATGACTTTCTCAAGCTTACCAGTAATTATACAAACTGTGAACTCTGATCTATTGACTTGAAAGGAAGAAGAAGGAGAAATGTCACAGTGAGAGATGAGTAGGTACAAATGCAAAAGGTAGAGGGATTTAAGCAAGAGATTTAGGCTAGAGTGGAGTGGAGAGAGAAAGGGAAGTAGAAAGTAAGAGAGTGGTTTGTGTCCTTATTTCCCCACTGCTTTTTCAGGACAGGAATGGCTGAGTTTTAATTGGCAAAGTAACATCTGTCAGCATTATGAACGGATTCCCAAAACATATACATGGAACAGATTCCTCTGAGATTGAGCCAAATCTGCTGTATTTCAACTATCTGTTACACATCCTGCCCTCAACTGATGTTCAAAGCAAGACTGACTTTCTTGCTCCACCCAACACACATTCCAACTGCCTCTCTCATGCTCTCTGCATAAGTTGGTATGTATTTGGAGGATGAAAACTAATTTCAATACAAGTATAACTACATATATGCAGAGTGGCTCATCTACTATCAACACATTATATGATGAATTCCAAAGTAAGACAAAATTTTTGTTGACATTTGATTGTAGTGTGGCACCATGAAGAGATCACTGATTTTGGAGTCACACAATTCTGAGATTGAATCTTGACTCTGTCACTATTAGCTGTGTAATCCTGGGTAAGGTACTTAGCTTATCTGAGTCCTTTTAACTCATAATGTTGCTAAAATCATTACAGAAAATTCAACAAATTTGCTTATCAACAAATATTCATTGCATGCTTACGGTGAGCCAGGAATATTCTAACATTGAAGACGCTAATAGGGAACAAAGCAGATGAAGTGCCTACCCTCAGAGAGTTTGCACTCTGCAGTTATAACTGATGTGGGCCAGGTACTGTGCCTGACACATCTCAGATACCTAACCAACATTCTTATCTTCTGGGGACTCTACCTCGTAAACACTACTAAGAGAAGACTGACAGCATTATGCTTCGCTTCACTGGATGGAATGGCTTCAACTTCCAGACTTGTGCTGTCCAATATGGTACCAGTAACCACATGTGGCATTTGAGCACTTGAAAAATGACTAGTGTGATTGAGAAACTAACTTTTTCATTGCATTTGATTTTAATGACTTTAAATTTAGATTTCAAACCTAGAGCAGTGTAAAATATTTTTATGATAAACACACCGTTTTTGTTTTGGCAGGGCTATATTTTATTTTAACCGTTGGAAATTTAGCTTCTGAATTTATTTGTGCTGCAAGTATAACGTACACGTCTAATTTTGAAGACTAGGATGGAAAAGAATGTAAAATATCTTGACAATCTTTTATATGGTCTACAGATTGAAATAATATTTTAGATGTATTGGCTTAAATGAAGTATATTACTGACATAAGTTTTACTAGTTTGCTTTTTTCATGTGGCTATTAGAAAATTAAAATTTGCATATAAGGCTCACATTATATTTCCATTGGGTAGCACTGCTATAGACCATGCTGAAAAATTTTCTTTTCTATTATTAGAATGGTCTTTTAGAGTGTGCTTATATGAGAGGTAAAAAGCCATGTAACTATGAGTCACACCCACAGTTGCTTTAAATACTTCGAAGCCATGTAAGATAATTCAGTTTGTATGATGCATTTTTAAAATGAAATTGACATAAAATAATGTCTTAATTATGTATTAAACCTCTCTTACCACCATTTGTTGAAACAACACAGAAGAAGAAAAGTAACAACATCACAATGTCAAAAAGGGAAATGGAAGAATTAAATAATCATTGCTGTTTTAGTAATTACACCTGGAATCAGGGATGTTGGAGAAAGTGACGGATGAGCTCTGTCTTTTCATGTGGAGGAGTTGGTTGATACTGCATTCTAATTAATTCTCTAAGTTCCAGATACTGGCTAGAAATTAATACATTTCTTTTGTGACCTTTATATTTGATAAATAACAAATTACTTTGTCAATTAAAAGAAACGAAGTTGACACATGCATTAGTCCCCATATCTAATTTATCATGGTGTTGGAAATAAGTAATCCATCCCTTTAATTATTTATTCATTAAGAAAGCTCAAGAAACTTAATACACAATTTCATTTCTTTTTACATGGTATCCCTATTCAGAAATGCTATGGGAAAAGAAGTCCATCATTTGTAACTAGTTAGACCTTAAGCACCCAAATTCTTCTGAAGGTCTAGACCCCGCCCAGTCAGGAAATAAATGCATGGATCCTTCCTTTGTTTTTGGTGAGAAGACAGAACATAATAGGAGAAAGAAGAATAAAAATCAAGTTTTTGATGGGAATTTGAAGTTCTAAGGAATTAACTTTCTAACTAAATGAACATTTTAACTTTCTCACTGAACTCTAGATGAACTTAGGTCCAGTTATCTCTGGGATTCTTGGGCTTCATTCTGGGCTGAATTCTGTTTCTCAACTTTATTCTGATATAACTCACTTCCTTTAGGGCTCCTCGTGATAAACCCAGGGCAGATTCTATTCAGCTGTCAATCTCAAGGAAGTCCTTGTAGGTTTCAGATTTAGGATGTGTGTGTGTGTGTCCTTAATATGCATTACATTACTGTACATACACTGTTTAATCATATTTATCACAAATATTTAATCCCAGCAAAAGTTTTAGATTAAGGTTTAGAATACAGAAGTAGTTTTCATGGTCATATAGCTAGTAAATTGCAGAGCTGGGTTGAAACTCAGGTCCTTCTGACTCTACCCAAGTCTTTGTAACTGCTATCCCAGTATGAGCTTTTAGATGAAACTGCTTGCAAAAATCCACCTTGAAAATAATTGGCTGGGCAATATGATCATGCACTTTTGGAGGCTGAGGCAGGAGGATTGTTTGAGGCCCGCAGTTTGAGACCAATCTGGGCAATATAATGAGATCTTATCTCTACAAAAAATCAAAAACATTAGCCAGGTGTGGGTGGTGATGCGTCCCTGTGGTCCTAGCTACTCGGAAGGCTGAGGTGGGAGGGTCACCTGAGCCCAGGAGGTGGAGGCTGCAATGAGCTGTGATGGCACCAAAGCCTGAGTAACAGAGCGAGACCCTGACTCAAACAAAACAAAACAAAACAAAACAAAACAAGAATAAACAAACAAATCAAAAAAAGCAAAGAAAAGAAAGAAAGAAAATCTGCTACATGGATGATATTTTTTTCCTTCTTTCTTCCTTTTACCTGTAAATGGAGATAGTAGGATAGTAGAACCGACCATCAGCAGGATGTGTTGCCACAGAAGAAATCGATATTGTGCTAGACTTCATATCAGGAAGCTGAGTACAGATGGACTGACTCTCATCAATAAACGCCATGGGAACACAAACCAGGTATTCTATTTTATTTCATTTTTTGCTCTGAATCAAACCCAATGAACAAATATTGACTCTCTGTAAGACTTTTATGCCATTAAGGCCACAGTTGAAATTATCCTCGCCATCTTCTCTATTTCCTTCTTCCTAGCCCCCGGGCTGTCACCCCTGGCATCCTTTCTATGCCTGTTTTCTTATTCTGTTTATCTTGATGAGACTATCTGATGGAAATCTGCTTGGTGGGAACAAAAATTGGTCAAAAACTATGGGCGTGGGTCCCCTCTTTGGTTCTGCTGGGTGTGTGAAGTGAGGCAGGAAGGTATAGGAAGGGCTTGGGAGTGGGCAGGAATGGG
Organism: Homo sapiens; assembly: GCF_000001405.40. Taxonomy (NCBI): domain Eukaryota; kingdom Metazoa; phylum Chordata; class Mammalia; order Primates; family Hominidae; genus Homo; species Homo sapiens. The sequence goes on from NC_000010.11 coordinate 8,400,166, forward strand.
GAAAGGAGAGGCTCCGAGACAAAGGCATTTGGGGTGGGTGACTTTGTTGTGCCTGGACCTCCTTTGTCTGGGACTGTGGAGAAGATAAATACCACAGTTCCTGGGATGAATTACCCAGCTGCAGAGCCATCCTGGCTCCTCAGGAAAACATATGCCCTTTGCTCTGTCATCTTCGGGGCAATGACCAACTTCCCTCTTTTGTGCTCCCTAAGGGCTTCGGTTAGAGGTAAATAACTTACTTAGCTAATGTACCCTCTGGTGGAAAAAAAGGACGGAGTCTAAAGACATTCCGAATGACCCAGCCGGTGGCTGGAGGTAAGAGGAAGGTGAACAACTGCCCCTCATTCTTGCAAATTTGTTTTGGTTTCTATTGAATTTTGAATGACTGGAATCTGTTACTATAAACATATTTTGTTATGTAAATGCATCATCAGCCCCCACCTCCCCACACACCTCTTCCAATCCCCTCCAAATTCCTAAATTAGAGAGCAGGTAAACAGTAGTTAGAAAACGCCTAAAGCAATCGACCTGTGTTAATCTCACCCAGAGAACAAAATCATGGAATATGTGATTATTTTAGAGTTAAAAACGAGGCGTTTTCATGAATCAGCACTTGGGAAAGCCTCTTTGGGATTTTCTGATTGCATAGTTGAATCACTTGTTATTGACCAGCATGCTTTCTTACCTAAGTATGGGGAACAAAAAGAATCAGGGAGACTTTTACCCTCGAAGAGTTTTCAGACTGAGGAGCTATGCTGTCTACAGACTCCAAGACAGGGTATGTGTTGATGTGTCTTTGTATTGCCAGCACCTCACAAGGCCAGGCACCTGCTATGCATTTCAGTATACAGGGATTGAGTGAATAAATAGCATACTTAATAGGAGAATAAGTCTATGCTAAGTGCCAAGTGACGGATGACTCCCAGAGATGCTCTAGAAGACAGAAGCAGTCCCTGTGGAGTGATCAGAGAAGGCTGCTTAGAATATTTGAGCTAGCTCTTGCAAAGGGAATAAATAAAAGGAGTGAATGAGGGCATGTTCCTTGGAGCTAGAAAATAGTGGGTAAATTGAGAATCTACTAGTCCGAGCTTGAAAGAGTTTATGCTGGAAGTAAGGGCAGGGGGAGGATTAATAAAAATCAGAAAACACCCTGAAGAGGGTCACGTGGGTCAGGAGCATTGTAATTATGATTTTTCTTTTTGTTGCAGGTCAACAGTGGGGTGAGATCAACGAACGCTGCTGTTGTTATTTATGATATGGAGCTGGTATGACTCTAGGTCTGGTTGAACTCTTACCTCTAGTCTGGAGGGTATAGAGGTCATGCATGATTTAATGCAGGTCATGGCCATTTCCAGGGAGAAGAGCAGCCCACGAACCACTGGGGGTATGAATGGCAATGTCTTTGCCTTGAAGGATGGTACACTTATTCCTTTGAAGTGCTTTACTGAATATTTAAGCCTATTCTCTTCTGCTTGACTTCTTGTTTTTTTCTTTTATTTTTTTCCTGTGGAATGGTTGACTCAGTTGAAGAGTTCATTTGGTCAGTAATTGCAATAGGATGTGGGTATTTTCCACATCCTTAACTTGTAAAACCATCTTGGAGCAGCATTCGCCTCCTGTGTAAAATGTGCAAATTTGCAACACAGAGAGAGGTGACATAAAGGACAAACCTAGTGCCCTCCCTGGTGCCCACTCTAACCCTAGGGTTGACACCAGGTGCTCATGTACGTCCAAAAAGCATCGCTGGTGAGTCTCATCATCCCAGACCTAAATCTCCAAAAAGAGAGAGAATCTTTTAAGAAGAATACAATAAAATAGACAGATACAAATGATAAACCAAAAATCAGGGCACAGCAGCTCACGCTTGTAATCCCAGCACTTTGGGAGGCCAAGGCAGGAGGATTGCTTGAGTCCAGGAGTTTGAAACCAGCCTGGGAAACATAGTGAAACCTGTCTCTACAAAAAATTAGCCTGGTATGGTGGTGCATGTCTGTAATCCCAGCTATTTGGGAGACTGAGGTGGGAGGATCACCTGAGACTGGGAGATCAAGGCTGCAGTGAGCTGTGATTATGCCAATGCACTCTTGCCTGGGTGACAGAGCAAGATCCTGTCTCAGAGAAAAAAGGAGAAAAAAATCAGGATCAAGGGAAAGTCCCAAGTCAATTCCTGCTTCCAAGGAGCTTATAATTAATTGGGAATCCAGTATAACTCTTACACAAGGGGAAAAATATCCATATTCCTAATGGAGCAATATTCAAATACGTAGAAATCAATGAGATGGAAATGAAGCGCTTCATTTCTGAAGGGACACAGGGCGAAAGGGATAAATGTGTGTTCACGGGGAAAACATCCCAAACATAAAATAGCTTGAGTCGATATATTTTTGTCGGTACATTTGGAGACCAAAAGGTTCTGACTCAGAGTGGAAAATGAATAATTTTTGTATGAGTGAGGATAAGTTACAGCCACATAACCAGATAGGGCCCTGAGCTGCAGGGAGGGCAGGAAGTAGGTTGTACACTTTGCTCAGCATAAACTCGTGCAGAAACACAGAAGGATTTGCATTAAGCTTTTCTTTTCCATTTTGTTGGTTGCTTTCAGTAATGTTAGATGAATCAGTCATGCCAACCTTTAAAAGTTAGGGAGAGAAAGATTTGAAGAGAGAACGGAGGTACTTAACGGCTCCACTGAAGCTCACTGGATTAGATGAGCTTCAGTGATAATAGTATTTCTGACTTAGCTTCTGTGACACCTTCCAACCAGCTCAAAGCATTGTATAGACACTATCTCATTAATTCTGTCGACATCCTAGTGAGGGACGTGGTGCCAAGTGTAATTTGCGATCACTTTATGGATTTAGACATGGGATGAAGTGAGTTTTTATAAAAACGATTATGAAATTTGGCTGTTTCAAGAAAGCAACCCAAGTTTTTTGAGTCAATTTCTAGAGCCTTCATGATGATTTCTCACCTTCTTCTTCTGTCCCTTTGATCAGATGTCTGAAACACCGAAAAGAAAAGGAAAAGACACATTTTTTTTTGACAGATTATGATCTTCTTAGGTTTTCAGCTTTGGGCTTACTTTGTACTTGAACACTTGAATAGAAAATCTGTAACCTTCAAAAATCATCGATATCATTCTGAAACTCCAGTGTTCGTGATCAAATCTTTTTGTGAGTTTCTGCATCTAGATTTCACATTTCCATCGAGGGTCCTTTCTTCCCATTATGCCCCTCTCTCTCTTCTTGACTATATTGTAAGCTCCAGGGGCTGCAGAAATTGTAGGGTTTTACTTTTCTATCTCCTAGTACCCAGCATTGTCTTTCCTAAAGTAGCAGTGAATATTAGTTGGATGCCTGAGGGGGTGTTTGCCAACATGGTGGGCACAGCTGCAAAAACCCCTAAGCTAGTTTTATCTAACTTCGCTCTTTAATTCTGTCCCAGCAGAGGCTTGGGGACATAGGTCTAGAAAAAGATATTGCCCTGTTGATGCTGTTATAGCTTAGGTGAGTTTTTGGAGGCCTATACTTAGAGGTAAAGGTTTAAAGAGTTGGAGGCTTGGGCTTCTTTGAAAACAGGTTTAATTTCTGATTTGAACTGAGGTATCTCAGGCTTCACCAAATTGGTCCTGTAATAAATATGTGATCAGATAGAGCATGCAAACTTTTCTGGAATCCCCAGCAACCACTTCCCCAGCCTCCCCAGTCCACCATCAGGCTGTCTAATTCAGCCAGCACCAAGCTGCAATTCACCAGTTACTGCCAGCTGACAGCCTGCCCCTGGGACGCTGTCACTCAGGAGTTAGCTTTTCTTGTTTTTTTTTTTTTTTTCCTGAATGTGAATGGCTAAAAACTTTGGTTTTTCTCTAAAACGCTGGCTCCAAGGCAGTGATGAGAAAAAAAAATGGGCTTTTTACTACTAAATCAGCAGGCTGAAAAATCCCTTATAAGTACTTCTGCTCAGATCACAGATGACCCTTGGCCTGGTGAGACCTTCAGGAGCCTGCAGGGGGCAGGAGGACAGGAGGCACCTGCACTCCATCAGAGAGTGGGAGGTGGGGAGGGGGCCGCACTCACTCTCCAGGATCCTTGGGGCTTCAGCCTTGGGTGGCTACCTCTTTCCTTGTCTCTCCCAATCCTTCAAAGGACACGCAAACTCAATTTACTTTCTAGGCCAGGAATCCTGAACTTTGGGTGAGCAATAGAATTAATTTAAATAGGTGAAAAAAAGAAAAAGAGTGACAGGAGAAGTACTCCCTGTTTTAAAATTTCTGAATGCTCCTGGCTTCCTGAAGAGACTTCCGAAGCTTTAAAGAAACTCCAGTGATATTAAAATGCAGCAGCAGAAGGACTTGCTTGCCATTTTTTTTTTTTTCCTCAACTGGACTTGCGAGATTCAGATTCCTTCACAGGGTATGGAGAAGTTGGTTGGTTTCAGGTTGTCCCTCCAGGAAACTCAATTAAATTGTACTAGGCAGTTTTTTTTCTTCCTCCTCTATTTTGTCGACAATTTCATTCCTGGGTTTGTAGTCGAGGGATTGGCCCTATAGGTAATATAGATTCTAGAAGAAACTTTGGCTTCATTTGAAGTTAAAAACTTTCTTAAAAAAAATGACATTCTTTTTTTATCTGTGCTACAGCCTTCCCCCTTTCTAGTGTACTTTTTAAACATTTTAGTTTCACTTTGAAATCTACCTTTTGGGCTACATTCGTTTCCCTTGGTTTCTTGTGGTTTTGTGGCTGGGAAGTCTCTCTGGTCACCTTGGCAATGTGAAATATTTGCACAAAATAAACAACCTTCTTACTTTCCTTTTGCACCTTCTTAGAAAAAATACTAATCTACCAGGTACCTGTCAAAAACAGAGACTGATTCTTTTTCCCATCCTGTCAATGGGGAATTGTTCTGTGCAGGCTTTTACTCTCTCAAAATAGCAGTAATGACTGCTTTAATCACTTTGTTCTAATCTGAGCCAAACAATGCCTCCTTCTTACCTTCATCTCTCCTTTTCCCTCTTTTCCCGCCTCTCAAAGCAATTGTTTTCATCCAAGCTCAGCCAGAACTGGCAAAGGAATGGGTTATTTTCCTGATTTGATTAGTGAGGATATATATACTACATACAATAGTATAATAGGGTGGCCAAGAGTCAAGAATATGAATTCTGGAGTCAAAATGACTTGAATTCTGATTCTGTGACTCGCTGGCTGTGTGACTTTAGACTTGCTATTTAGCCTCTCGGAGCCTCTGCTTCCTCTTCTGTAAAATGAGGATATAGTAGGACCTATGGATGAGGGTCATTGGAAAGGTTAAATGAGATACAATGTGAAGTGCTTTGTATAGTGCCTGGTTTAGAGTAAGAGCTCAGACATGGTCATCATCATCATTATTATTACTTTCAATCTGAAGAGCATTAGGCCCATGAGATACTCCTTAAAAAAGAAACCCATGACCAACAAAGTTAGAGAAAGGGTGTACATAGAGCTACTTCGTGGTGATTCATAATGACCTTAACATAATAAGGCTCTTCGAGTACTTACGAAATCTATTTTATTTAATCTAGTTATTTCCCAAGTTATTTGGCTAAGGAGTCCCTCTCTTCTCTTTGCCTGTGTTCCTTGGGACACACTTGGAGGGAGGCCGAACCAGTGTGCTATTTAAGCTCCCTGCACTTCCCCCAATAGTTACAGAAATCTGTACTGATCCTCTGAGGGATTGATGACATAAGTGTGTAATAGATACATTCCATAATTTAAACAAAAACATGTCAACCCGAGAAACACAAGGGAACACGCATTCAAGACCACCTGGTAATATGATGTGTTCATTGGTCTGAAATGCTTTAACCTCTTTTTTCCTCCTCTTCCTTGTAAAATTAAGTAGTTTATTTCAAACCAGATATGTCTAAAGTGAATATCCAATTCTCATCCAGTTTTTGTACGTTGATATAACCTATTACCACATTTTGTACTCCAGAAATAAAAATGCAAAATGTAGAAATGAGGTGCATTTCATAGAAGATACAGAGGTATGTAGATAGCTAGTGAGCTAATAAAATATGTAGACCTCTTTATGAATGCTGTGTACGAATCAGGTGAAAATGCTACAAAGCATTACAGTTATAATGATGGAACCATTGTCTGCTCTGAGTCAAGCATCCAATGTGGTAAGTAGAATTTATAGACACACATGTGCAGTAGGATCTTCCTTGCTAATAGCTTTTTTCTCCTTGTTCTTGGGGAAAATGGGTTCAATAATAAGACAGACATTCGCAGAAACACTGGAAGCACCTTTGTAATCCTGCAGTTAGAAAACTACTAACTGCTTCATCTGGAAAGGTTTGGGACAAAACTGTGACCTCAGGAGAAAGGCAAGCCATGAAGGCTCATCGGCTCTGAACCAAGGTGAGATTTTGGATGGCTGTGTAGCAGAGGAGTTGGGTGGTCTGCAGGGCAAGAAACCTAGCCCAGGATGCCATCATGCTTGATGGGTGAGAGAATGAGATTCCTCAAGGTGATTTCTGCTCCAGGCTTGGCTCCAGTTACCAAACAGCAGAGTATGGTCTAATTTTGGTGACCTAGGATTTCTGGGACAGTCCTGATTTCAAATGTTGTGTGTCACTATCTCTGGACTCTTGAATGTACTAGAATCACGCTCTGATCTTAAGTTAAGGTCATCATCACTCACAGCCCCTAGGAAGGAGCCAGGAAACCCACTCACCTACTGTGCATGGCATGTCACATTTCTTTTTCTTTTTCTTTTTTTTTTTAGATGGGGTGTCACTCTGTCACCCAGGCTGGAGTGCAGTGGTACAACCATAGCTCACTGCTCACTGCAGTCTCAAACTCCTAGGCTCAAGCGATCCTCCCATCTCAACCTCCCAAGTAGCCAGGACTACAGGTGTGTGCCACCATGCCTGGCTAATATATAAATATATTTTTGTAGAGTAGGGGTCTCACTGTGTTGCCCAGTCTAGTCTTAAACTCCTGGGCTTAAGGGATCCTCCTGCCTTGGCCTCCCAAAGTGCTGGGGTTACAGGCGTGAGCTACCACGCCCAGCTTATTTTTCTCTCTGAAAATCAGTTTATTTGTTTATAAAATGAGCACTTGAAAATGATAATTTCTATGTTCTCTTCCAGAACAAAGATTTGGGTTCTGTGTGACTTGGTGCAAAGCATTAGATTATTTACTCTATTTTCAGTTCATTCACTTGGAGGAAAGGTTATGACTTGTTAAGTCTTTGCTATTTTCTCTGAGGTGATTTTTAATTTTCAGAATGGCATGTACTAATTAAAAGCTCACAGCTCCACCCCTCACTATGATAGGTGCAACCAGCTGATTGGATGATTCTTAACAATTTATACTGGAAGTTGCTACAGTAATTACTCCTTGTTTAGTCAATAGCAGAGTTAGTAGTAAAAATGTCAAAAATTTAACAACTCACCAGGTATTTTTTCTAAGCTGCCCTAGAGGCAGACACAGGTCAGATTAGATCTACTATCTAAACCCAATCCCTGTGTTAGAACAGAGCTTGTGTTTGCCTCTGACTGTAGGAGACAGGGTAAGAGGATGCAACCTTTTGTCAAAATGGGGAGGACCTTGAGAGATAATATGAGGAGCTTTCTTTTTTTTAACCCCCCTTCTTTCCCTGTGTGATGTTTTGTTTGTCCTGCAGTCTTGCAAATAAATGCTGGGCAAAGGCTCATGTAAATAGAGACTGTGAGTTCCTCCAAGGGAGTTTACAAACAGAATCCTTAAGACAAAACCAGCATTCTGGAGCCATGATGGGAGGGTGCCTGTGAATTCCACCTGAGAGCACCTTGGGCCCTAGGAGTTAATGCCTGCAGGTTTATCTTTTAATGCAAGAAGCCAGAGATTTCTTATCTCTGGTCAAACAGACATAATTGAGTTAAATATTCTACTTCCCAAAGCCTGGGTACAACTGATCTCCTTTGAGAGACAGTCCTAAAGGAGAGACTCACAGCTGAGCTGGGGTGAATGGAGGTTTACTTGAAGAACAGTGGCAGTAAGTCTGACTTTTTTTTTTTTTGAAACCATGCTTTCCAAGACTTTAAGAAAGTCATTCCCATTAGAAAAGCCAAATATATTTTGTCATATTCCTCAGAAAAAAAATAGGGTTTAGAAAAAAATGAAATAGTTGTTGAATGAATCTATGAATAAAGGAATTGATGAAAAAAAGAGATTAATAAATGAATACCTATGAATGAGATCAGCCTTGCAAAAGGTATTCCAGAACCCCAAGTCTTGAAGGGTTGATTTTGCCCAGAATCTCTTCAACATAGCATTTGACCCATTTCTACTCTGTTAGCATTATTATTACTATTATTATTTTCATTGAGACAGGGTCTCACTCTGTCACTCAGGCTGGAGTGCAGTGGCGCAATCATAGCGCAATGTAATCTCAAACTCCTGGGCTCAAATGATCCTCCCACCTCAGCTTCCCAAGTAGCTAGGATTACAGGCATGTGCCACCACATTGGGCTAATTAAATAACAATTTTTATTTTTTTGTAGAGATGGGGTCTTTCTACGTTGCCCAGCTGGTCTTGAGCTCCTGGACTCAAGGGATCCTCCTGCCTTGCATCCCTAAGTGCTGAGATCAAAGGTGTGAGCCACTGTGCCCAGCCCACTCACACTGTTGATTTGGAGTAGTTTAACCTCCCATAATCACTGAGAGGACTCAAGCATTTCCTTCTTATTTTTCCCAATTATCAAAATAATGCTTGTAAAACATCAACCAGAATGGGACAGAAGAGATACTCATGGGTCATATTTTATTTCTCTTAGCCTTTCTGTTTTGACTTTCCCTAGGTAGGGAAAGTTACCCCTGGCCATATGATTCAGTGAATTCTGTCATTGTGGAACTCAAAAATTTCTTCTTTACACCTAGATTCTCTTACTGTGGTTCCAATTATTCTTCAAAATAAGAGTGGTCAACCAATCACCAGAGCAGTAGGGAGTAATATTTCATTTCATGTCTGTCTTGAAATCTTCATTTCAATTAGGAAATTGCTCATGTCACCCCTACAGCGTGAAAGACACCAAGAAAGAAAGAAGAACGTCTTCTGGATAGGATTGTGTGCTCAAGTTATATATATGTATTGAAAGAGAATCTCATGGCTGGGCGCGGTGTCTCCTGCCTGCAATATCCCAGCACTTTGGGAGGCCGAGGCAGGTGGATTACTTGAGGTCAGGGGTTCCAGACCAGCCTGGCCAACATGGTGAAACCCCGTCTCTACTAAAAATACAAAAAATTAGCTGGACATTGTGCACACCTGTAATCCCAGGTACTTGGGAGGCTGAAGCACAGAATCGCTTGAACCCAGGAGGCAGAAGTTGCAGTGAGCCGAGATTGCGCCACTGCACTCCAGCCTGGGTGACAGAGTGAGACTCTGTCTCAAAAATAAAAATAAAAACAGAAAGAGAATCTCATGAGAAAGTAAATGAAAGCTTTTAGAGAACAGGAATCAGACCCACGATAGGTACTCGGTTTTTTAAAATAAGGTTTTTTTTTTTTTTTTCCTTTTTTAAGAGACAGGGTTTCACTTTGTTGCCCAGGCTAGTCTTGAATTCCTGGTTTCAAGTGATCCTTCTGCCCTGGCCTCCCAAAGTGCTAGGATTACAGCAAGAGCCACTTTATTTATGCCTTTTGCATAAATCAATAATACAATTTTAGGTAAGTCCTTTCAGTGGGTTTATCACAGCTCATCTAGACTCCTTAATAATTAAACATTAAATATTTTATTTAAAATTTATTTTTAAATTTAAACGACTTTTAACCTTACTCAACAACATTTCTTTAAGCATGTGCTGCATGCTGCGTTCTGTGGCTGGCACTGGGTTTCTGGTGGAGAACCTGGTAGATGGGTCCCTTGACCTTCATATTGCTACAGTTGAGTGACGGAAATTGGCATTAAGCTGTATCTGAATATATCATTAAAAACTGTGGAATCTCCCATGAAGAAAAAGAGCAGGGTGTTAGCAGAGAAGAGAATAGGGTTGGGGAGGGAAGGAGCATGTTCAGATGAGACGCCAGAGGAATTCTCTGGGGAAGCGACGTTTCAGCTGAGGCCTCCAGGAGTGCAGCGAGAGGAGAAGGGGCATCCCGGGGATAGGATAGGATCAGGCATAGTGCACAGGAGGCCCAAGGGAGGAGGAGAGGGCTTGGGCTTTTTGGGGAGCTGAGCACAAGTGTGGCTGGGTGGTGGGAAATATAGGGGCGGAACAGTGTGATCCTTTCCCTCACCCATCATAAAGGTCACAGCCAGCACTCCTGAAACAAAAGACAGGTTAGCAAGAGAAAACATAACAGATTTATTTAATCAGAGTTTTACAAGACACAGGAGACCTCAAAAATGAAGACCCCCAAAGACCCAGGGAAAACTGTCCATTTTTATGCTTGGATTCGATGAAGAATGAACAGCTGTATAGAAATATGACTAGACCAAAGGGAATGACCTGATGTCATAGACCGAGGGGGACACCCAGCAAGGCCCGTCTGTTCAGATTCTTCCTGGCCTCTCTGAGCAGCATTCCTTCCTCCTGAGTACAGGGCAGGACCCATATGGAATGAGGGTCCCATGACCCACAATCTGACAAGGTAGGTCAGAGACTTTCTTTATGGCCAGCTCCTACACTGAAAGGCAGGAAAGTTTAGATTCATATTTCTAGGTCTTATGGCTAGCTTGGGGTAGAGGGGTTCCAGTTTCTGGGGCCCACTCTGGAGAGGAAAGAGGAGTGAGAGACAGGAGGGCAGGAGAAGGTCAGAGAGAGACGTTACTCCTGAGACCTTCCAATCTCTTTAGTTCAAAGCTCTCAGCTTGCCAAAGCATCATACTTTAGGGTATCGTTTTCTGAGCTCCAACAAAAATAAGGGGTGGGGGGAGGTAGTGCAAAATGACGCAGGAATAGCAAACCAGAGCACCCAGGTGGGGTCTTGTGAGCCAGGTGAATGAGGGCACAATGGGAAGTCAGTGGAGGGCTCTGAGCCATGTGATACAATTCATATTCAAATGTTAGCTGGGTGCCACTGCTCACACCTGTAATCCCAGCACCTTGGGAAGCTGAGGCAGGTCAATCGCTTGAGCCCAGGAGCTCGAGACCAGCCTGGGCAATATAATGAGACCGTGTCTCTACAAAAAATACAAAAATTAGCTGGGTGTGGTAGCATGCACCACAGGTACTCGGGAGGCTAAGGTAGGAGGATCGATTGAGCCTGGGGTGTTGAGGCTGCAGTGAGCTGTGATTGCACCACTGCACTCCAGCCTGGGCCACAGAGTGAAACCTTGTCTCAAAAAAAAAAAAGTTAAATGCATTTCATGGCTGCTGTGTGGAGGATGAATTGGAGATGAGCAAGAATAGGAGCTGCAGAGGAGGCCGTGGCAGGGTACCTGCTCCCAGGCTGCTCATATGAGCAATGAATCAATGTGGGGCCAAGTGTGAGTGGCAGTGAACAGCGTGACAAGGACACACATTGGAAATAATTTACTCTTGGTTCTTTTTAGATGCCAAGGCACATTGCCTACACTAGCAACTTGACTAGAACTCCATTTTAGAATAATAAAAACAATCATGGTTTGCATGGAGATTTAATTGCAAAAATGTGTGTATTCTGTTTCGTATGGTGCCTGTCAGAGCAGGTATGTCTTTTCTTTCTTCTTTCCTTTTCAAAAAATCCTTATAGAAACAGGGTCTTGCTATGTTGCCCAGGCTGATCTTGAAATCGTGGCCTCAAGCAATTCGCCCCCCTCAGCCTCTGAAAGTGCTGAGATTACAGGCATGAGTCACCGCATCCAGCCCAGAGCACGTTTCCTTAGGGTATCTTTCTGCTCTTTTCCACATGACAAAACTCCTAACTGTCCTTCATAGTTAGCTCTTCATATTCTGCATTACATTCCCTGATATTTAGAGGTGTCACCAAGTCATTCCCAGAGCTGAGAAAAATGAAAGAATTAAAAAAAACTTGCTTTGTTGATTTTTTGTTGTTGCTAATTTTGTAACCCAAATTGTATTAACTCCATAGAGAGCATTGTTCAGAAGTTGTTGCAATGAAAAAGTCTTACAAATTTATTTCTATATATTAATGATTATGTTACAAGCGCTTGAACTATTGTTAAATTTCCTTCATATATCCATGATTATTCCAAGGGAAATTATTGTTCTGTGCCTATGTATCTTTATTTTAAAGATCTACAATATGATTTTGAGGGGGGAACAATGTTCTATCATTTTTCTCTTCAGAATTTGTTTAAAAAGAATGCACGGATTAAACTAAGAAGTAGGATCTTTGGTAGCAGTCAAGGCGGAAGCCGGGAATTCACTCTTTATACTTATGAGTCTTTCTAGCTTTCTATTCTGATCTTAGACATCCCTCAATGCCTACATGAAGTCCTAAGTTTTTCACAAAGCCTTCTTTGGCTTGTAGTTCACTAACATTTGCTGAGCTATAGAGCTGTGTGTCTGGGGTTGTGGCTGCCTAGTGTGCATGTCCCAGATGCCACTGAAGGTAGGTTTGGGCCATGTGACTAAGTTCCAGTCAGTGGAAGGTAACTGGAAATGATGTGCGGAACTCTCAGGCTCAGGCCTTAAAATATTACACACGTCCCTTTCTTGCTCTTTTTCCCGTGAACTGGAACATTGATAAGCTGATAACCAGCTTTGACCACACAGGTGAAGACAACACCCTCCGGAATGCAAACGATTGAGAAGGGCTTGGACCATTAGTGATCACATTTAGTAGAACAACTTCGCCTCTCTGCTCTGGGCTGTGACATGAGGAGGACATATGCCTCTCTGTTATTTAAGCCACTGTATTATTGGTTGTCTTTTAGAGTAGCTAAGGCTTTTATTTTCTTGTTATAAAAGTTGGTACCTGAAGCAAAATGCTGTTGTAATAAAAATCTAAAATATATGTCATTGAGTCTGGGAATGGTATAACAGATATGCAGTCTGTAAAAACTATACACAAGTGTCATGAATTATTATTAGGGGATACTAAGAACTCCTTCAACATCCTGACTAATCAGATAAAGGACGAAGTAAGATTCAAACAAAAATTAGACCAGGCACAGTGGCTCACACCTGTAAGTCCAGCATTTTGGGAGGCTGAGGAAGGAGGATCATTTGAGTCCAAAAGTTTGAGACCAGCTTGGGCAACAAGTGAGACTCCCACCACACAAAAAACCCAAAAAACCTAAAAAACAAAACAAAAAGTAGCTGGGCATGGAGGCACACATTTGTAGTCCCAGCTACTGGGGAAGCTGAGGTGGGAGGATTACTTGAGCCCAGGAGGCAGAGGTTGTAATGAGCCAAGATTACACCATTGCACTCCAGCTTGGGCGACAGAGTGAGACTTTGTCTCAAAAAAAAAAAAAAAAGTAATAATAAAAAGCAAAACAAACAAACAAACAAAAAGTTCTATAGAAGTTCAGAAGAGGCAAATATGATTAAAACTGGGACTAGAACATGTGTTCTCTTACAGAAAAGCTTAACCTTCCAGAACAATGCTTTCTGAACTGCAGTATCTGTTATGCCACCCTCAGACTCAATGACATACATTTTAGATTTTTGTTACAACAGCATTCTATTTGCATGTTGTTTTATAGTTTGCATAGTGTCTTTACATTTCTTATTGCACCTAATCTTCACAAAAATAACGAGATGTTGAGATTCATTTATCTGGTCAAGGTTTATTGTGCACCCATTATGTGCCCTGGACTGGCCTGTGTTTGCAGGACACTTATCAAACGGAGCCTTTGTTTTGGAAGTGATTTCACTTTAGGACCAATTATGAAGATGAGTAGAAGTCTCTGGTGAGATATTGCCATCATGATCTTTGTGCATTTACCGTCTAGGATCTGGGACAGAAAATGATGGGTCCAAGGTTGCGCAGCTAGTTTTTTATTAATTTTTTTTTTTTTTTTTTTTTGTAGAGACGTGGTCTCCCTATGTTGTTCAGGCTGGTCTTGAACTCCTGTCTTCAAGTGATCCTCCTGCATTGGCCCCCAAAAGTGCTGGGATTCCAGGTGTGAGCCTCCACATCTGGCCTGCACAGCTAGTTAATGTGCTATTCATTGTCCAGTGCTACTCAACTCAAACAGCAAAATATCTAACATGTAATCCCAGCACTTTGGGAAGCTGAGGCAGGTGAATCACCCTACATTAGGAGTTTGAGACCAGCCTGACCAACATGACAAAACCCCATCTCTACTAAAAATACAAAGCCAGGCTTGGTGGTGGGTGCCTATAATCCCAGCTACTTGGGAGGCTGAGGCAGGAGAATCACTTGAACCTGGGAGGTGGAGGTTGCAGTGAGCCGAGATCATGCCAATACACTCCAGCCTGGGCAACAGAGTGAGACTCCATCTCAAAAAAAAAACAAAAAACAAAAAACAAAACAAAACAAAAATGTAGTTATGAAGTAGTTCAAATAATATTTTTACTTATGTATTTTTATTTGTTTATTGTAATGGAGGAGTTAAGAATAAATCATATTGATTACATCAACTGAAGCTGAAGCTGTAACTCAATCTATCAAGACTGAATTTATTAAATTATTAGAGCATAGGAAGTAAGTGCTTTTGATAGTAAAGTGTTGTTGACCAGCTAAAATCTAACACAAACTGGAATCAAGCCCCTGAACCAGGGTTGGGTTTACATTGCTTCTTAGTGTACCTCCACATAGCACTTCACATTATATCATGACTGAAAGGCTGATTGAAGATTTTATTTTATTTTAAGTTCTGGGGTACATGTGCAGAAAGTGCAGGTTTGTTACACAGGTAATCCTGTGCCATGGTGGTTTGCTGCACCTATCAACCCATCACCTAGGTATTAAACCCCACATGCATTAGCTTTTTATCCTGGTGCTCTCCCGTGACCCCACCCCCTGACAGGCCCCAGTGTGTGTTGTTCCCTTCCCTGTGTCCATGTGTTCTCATTATTCAGCCCCCTCTTATAAATGAGAACATGTGGTGTTTGGTTTTCTGTTCCCGTGTTAGTTTGCTGAGGACAATGGCTTCCAGCTCCATCCATGTCCCTGCAAAGGACACAATCTTATTCTTTTTTATGGCTGCATAGTATTCCACAGTGTCTATGTATCACACATTCTTTACCCAGTCTATCATTGATGGGCATTTGGATTGATTCCATGTCTTTGCTATTGTGAATAGTGCTGGAATGAGCATATGTGTACATTTATCTTTATAATAGAATTATTTTTATTCCTTTGGGTATATACCCAGTAATGGGATTGCTGGGTCGAATGGTATTTTTGGTTCTAGGTCACTAAGGAATCGCCACACTGCCTTCCACAATGGTTGAGCTAATTTACACTCCCACCAACAGTGCAAAAGCATTCCTATTTCTCCACAGCTTTATTTCTACACAGGTCACCTTGGAAGACAAAGATGTGGGAGTGTGAAAAGAGGCAAGGCAGGTGAGAGTGATATAAAATACAAGGCAGAGGAGGAAGCATCACCAGGAAAGAGCATGGTGGGGCTTGAAGAGGGAAAATGTCTAACTGAAAGGACTGAGGGCTTGTGAAAAAAAAATGATGGGGTTGGGGAAGAAAAGTGGAACTAGAGAGACTAGGTTTAGCCAAAATGAAATGATGTGGCAAGTAAAGATGAGAATAAAATAAGAGATTCCTCTGGGTCTATTCTTCTTGTTAACTGATTTGAAAGGTACAAGGACATTGAGACACTGAAAATTTAAGAGACAGAGAATCCATTCCAGAAATAGGTATTGAGTTTGGATTATGTGCCAAACCCTGGAAATTGAATAATGATGAAAATAAAGGTGTGGTCCTTATCCCCTTGGCACATACAGTGGAAGAGATAAATGCATAGTAATACCCTGACCTTGTTTATTGCTCTCTTGCCTTGAGTAAATAGTAGCTCTGAAGAAGTATGCTACCTCCTTCCACCTAAGGGATTGGAATAGATTCAGCAGAGAGGATTAAGGGCTGGATATCATAGGGTTTTCTAGCTTTTGTTTCCAACCTCTCTCAAATTTAATTGCCTGCTGAAGGAGGTACTAGAATGGCACCCACAACTGGCTTTGAGAGAGGAAAAATGAAGTGGTCGCTTCAGATCAATGTTTACCTCTGTCAGCTCAGTACACAAGAGCCCTTAAGCATGAAGGTCGGGGCTTGACTTCTATCTGGAAAGTGGCCCCGAGATCATCACTTTGGTTTCAATTGGTTTTGAAGTGTCGCTGAAAGAATTCTTTTGTTTTTACTTTAGGCTCGTGGGTTTGCACTGTAACCATATCTGCTTTTCTACATCTCTGTTTGACACTAGTTTGACCTCTGCTTACCTCATACTTGCTAAAAAGAAACATATCTAATACCATCCACCTTAGTGATAAGAGCAAGAGAAAACAAACAGTGGAAAGACCCTTCAGAAGTGGATGACCTACTATTAGCTGTGGGAGGCTGACGACGTCCACCCCGGGCTTGTCATCAGTAGGGAGGATATGGTGTTTGGGTTTAGAACTTTGGAGTAGAGTTCTAGGCTTGATTCTGACCACAGTTTGTCATTGTGTGATGTTTAATGGACATTTAAGATGAGATGCAATGCCTTAGCTTGTGAGTCAGTTTCAAACCATAATTTCTATGTTCTTTCTAGGATCAAATGACCTCAGCTACATAGGTCAAGTCATTATAAGGTATCTTCAGGCCAGGCACCGTTGCTCACGCTTGTAATCTCAGCATTTTGGGAGGCTTAAGAGGGAGGATTGCCTGAGATCAGTCTGGCCAACATGGTGAAACCCCCATCTCTACAAAAAATACAAAAATTAGCCAGGCGTGATGACACATGCCTCTGGTCCCACCTACTCAGGAAGCTGAGGTGGGAGGATTGCTTGAGCTTGTGAGGTAGAGGCTGCAATGAGCCAAGGTGGCACCACTGCTCTCCAGCCTGAGTGACAGAGCAAGACCCTGTCTTAGAAAAAAAAATCTTCAGAAGTATCCTCAGTTAATAATTCCATATTTCTCCTGGAGTCATTTACCTTCTCATCCACCTCCATCTTCCTTTCCTTGATGTAAAACAAGCTACTTGGAGGTCACCACAACACTACTTGCTTGTTCTAGGGATAGGATTTTGGACCCACTCCCTGAAATGAGACTAAAGTAGGGTGACAGAGAAATATCAAGCACCCAGAACATTTCTGAAAAATGTTAACTGGGAATGATTTCTTTCTTGTCTCTCACCTGCACAAAGACCATTGTATGCATTTTGGAGAGAAAAGGAGATTAAAAAATAAATTAGAGTTGGAAATAAAACTTCTTTTAGTTTACATAATTGTTTTTGTGTATGTGTTTTAACAGTGAGTTTACTGACAAATTGACTGAGTTGAAGGACTGCTGGAAATAGCTTCAGGTTTGGAAAGCCAAGGCCAAGGATTTGCAAATGCTTTGGAGGAGATAATGGTGAGGGGCAGAAATGCACAGTGCCTGTGAATATCCAAAAGGAGGCTGAGAAAGAAAGATTTCTGAACACAAGGGAAACTCCAAGAGTTTGAGGAGTGGGCAGGAGGGAAGCCTTCTGGATAATGTCGTTCCCTTTCATGTCTTCAGTTCTGGGCTCCCTCTGTTTCTCTTTTCCTTGTTGTGTACATTTAGGTGACCTCATCTAGACACATGACTGTACACACCACCCATGTGCTGATGAATCTATTTTTATCTCCCCTTTGACCTCTCCCCTGTACAGCAGGCTTCTTCAATCACCTTCTTATATTTCTACTTGGATATCTAACAGGCATCTCAAAATTAACATCTTTACTTATTTATTTATTTATTTTTCAAAACATGGTCTTGCTCTGTTGCCCAGGCTGGAGTGCCATGTCACAATCATGGCTTACTGCAGCCCTGACCTCCTGGTGCAAGCAATCCTCCAAACTCAGCCTCCTGAGTACAGCAGTGCACCACCATGCCCTGCTAATTTTTAAAAAAAATTTATGTGGAGACTTGGTCTCACTGTGCTGCCCAGGCTAACACCTTTTTGTTCTTTTTTGTTTGTTTGTTTGTTTGAGACAGAGTCTTAGAGTCTTGCTCTGTCACCCAGGCTGCAGTGCAGTGATGCAATCTCTGCTCACTGCAACCTCAGCCTTCTCAGTTCAAGCGATTCTCCCGACTTAGCCTCCCAAGTAGTTGGGATTACAACCATGCACCACTATGCCTGGCTATTTTTGTATTTTTAGTAGGGAAAGGGTTTCATCATGTTGGATAGTCTGGTTTCAAACTCCTGACCTCAAGTGATCTGCCTGCCTCGGCCTTTCAAAGTGCTGGGGTTACAGGCGTAAGCCATCCTGCCCAGCCTAACATCTTTAAATACAGATCTTTTGATTCCACCTGTCTTGAAAATTTGTCTACCTCTGTCCCTGACAAACCTTCTACTATTTTCACTATATCAGGATTCCTCTTCTAAAGGCAGTTCACCCTGCTGATTCATCAGTAATTCCTGTTGGCTCAACTTCTGAAATAGCCATTCATTTCTTCTCATTTTTTCTGCCATTGTCTCAACCCCAAACCCATCACATCTGCTTGTCTCTCTCATCCATTTCCACATAACAAGCAGATTACTTTAAAACAGAAATCTGTTGTAAACCCACCAATGATTCCAAACACAATGCTTGTGGTCAGAATAAATTCCAAACGCTTCTCATAGCCTACGAGTTCCTACAATGATCTGGCTCTTTTCTTCTTCTTCATCTGCATTTCCCAGCACAACTGGTCACTTCTTAGACTCTTGCATTAATTGGCTCATTGCACAACTATTTATTACAGTGCTCTCTCTTTTCTTTTTTTGGTGACGGAGTCTCGCTCTGTCCCCCAGGCTAGAGTGCAGTGGAATCTCAGCTCACTGCAACCTCTACCTCCCTGGTTCAAGTGATTCTGCTGTCTCAGCCTCCCAAGTAGCTGGGATCACAGGCACCTGCCACCACAGCCAGCTATTGTTTTGTATTTTTAGTAGAGATTGGGCTTCACCATGTTGGCCAGGCTGGTCTCGAACTCCTGACCTTAAGTGATCCGCTGGCCTTGTTCTCCTAAAGTGCTGGGATTACAGGCATGAGCCAGTGCACCCAGCCTTATTACAGTGTTTTCTATGTGCCTAGCACTTTTCTGGGCTCCAGAGATAGAGCAGAGAACAAAGAACACAAAATTCCTGCACTCACAGAGTTTACCTTTTAGCACAGGGAGAGAGGAATTTAGTTCCTTGGTGGGTTAGGAAGTGGTCAGTGCTACAGAAAAAAGTTGAGTTGGGTTAGGGACAGGGGTACCAATGGGAGGGTCTTGAGGCAGCCTGCAGTGCTGGTCAGGGCAGGCCACAGGTCAAAGGTGAAATTTGAGCAAAGAGTTGAAACAGGAAAAAGAATTAGCCAAGGCTGGTAGGAGGGAGAGAGTGATCTGGGAGGGACAGTGTCTAGACTAAAAGTCCTGAGGTGGGAATACGTTTGTTGCATTCAAGATTCAGTGAGGAAGCCAGCCGAGGAGTCAGTGTCGGCTCTCCATGGATGTTAGCTTTCGCTCTTTGTGAGATGGGCAGCTGTCTCAGGGTCTTTAGCAGGGGAAGAGCATGATTTGTTTATGTTTAAAAAGCATCCCAATTCTGTGAAGAAAGTCAATGGTAGCTTGATAGGGATAGCATTGAATCTATAAATTACTTTGGGCAGTATGGCCATTTTCACGATATCGATTCTTCCTATCCAAGGAGCATGGAATGTTTTTGCATTTGTACGCAAGAACAGAAAACCAAACACTGCATATTCTCACTCATAAGTGGGAGTTAAATAATAAGAACACATGGACACAGGGAGGGGAACATCACACATTGGGGCTGTCGGGGGTTAGTGGGCTAGGGGAGGGACAGCATTAGGAGAAATACCTAATGTAGGTAATGGGTTGATGGGTGCAGCAAACCACCATGGCACATGTATACCTATGTAACAAACCTGCTCATTCTGCACATGTACCCCAGAGCTCAAAGTATAATAAGAAAAAATAAATAAGTAAAATAAAAAATAATAAAAAGCATCTCTGTGGCTGCTGTGTTGACAGTAGCCCATAGGCAAGGACTCATATAGGAGAGAGTTTGCAGTTGATTGCAATAGTTGGGCCAGAGCTAAAGTGAAGTAAGTTTAGGCCCCTAGGGTACGAAATGTGAGGAGGTCCTCACTCCCAGGGCTGTGCAAAGCATCTGGAGAGGGAGTGTCTCTTTCAATTTTGTACCCCGGGGGCCAATCTTGCCTCACCCTGGTCCTATCCCTGTGTAATAATCTGGGTTAGAGATAATAGCTGTCTGCCCTGGGCAGCAGCAATGGAAGTGGTGAGATGAGATCAAATTCTGTATTTTCTGGGAAAGTGGAGTCATGGTTTCCTGCCAGATTCAATGGGGAGTAGAGAGAGAAAGAGAGGCACAAAGATGACACCAGGCAGGAATGGAGTTGCCAGCAGCTGGGATGGGGATGGCTTCAGGGAGCCGATCCTGAAGGGAGGAAGGGAGGAGCTGAGGGTTTGAGATGTGAAGCTGGAAATTCTTAGCCACGAAGTGGAGTTTTGCAGGGCAGCAAGATATGGGAGGCTGGAGTTACGGACTGATGATGGCCATGCTGCTCCTGGAACATGCACTTCTTACCCCTGCCTCAGAACATTGGCCCTTCTTGTTTCCTCTGAGTCCAACACTTTTCTTCTGCATCTTCGCAGGCACCTCTTTCATTCATGTTACCATTCTAAAGTCAGTTTAAAAGTTTATTTTTGAATTGACAAATAATAATTGTACATATTCATGGGGATCATAGTGATGTTGCAATACATATGAGGTACAGTGATCAGATCAGGGTAATTTGCATATCCATCATCTCAATGAAAATGACTTTTATCATTTCTTTGGCTGAGAACATTCAGTATCCCCCATCTAGCTATTTGAAGCTATGTAGTATATTATTGTTTAGTTTTGTTTTGTTTTTGAGACAGGGTCTCTCTCTGTCACCCAGGCTGGAGTGCAGTGGTGTGATCATAGCTCACTGCAGCCTCTACCTCCCGGGCCCAATCAATCCTCCTGCCTTAGCCTCCCAAATAGCTGGAACTTCAGGTGTGCGCCACTGTGCCCCACTAATTTTTTGGTCTTGAACTCTTGGGCTCAAGCAATCTGCCTGCCTCGGCCTCCCAATGTGCTGGGTTTACAGGTGTGAGAAACAGCCTGACCTTCTGTTGTTACTGTAATCATCCTACAGCGCTACAGAACACTAGAACTTACTCCTTCTATCTCGTGGTAATTTTGTATACTTTAAAAAATCTCTCCCTATCCACCCCTTCTCCCTGTCCTTCCCAACCTCTAATATCCTCTGTTCTACTTTTTATTTCTATGAGATCAACTTTCTTTCTAGCTTCCACATATGAGTGATACTAAGCAGTGTTTAACTTTCTGTTCCTGGATTATTTCATTTCAAACACTGCCCTTCGGTTCCATCCAATGTGGTCATGAATGAAATGCCAGCTTTTTTGAAGTAAGGAGCCTTTCTCATGCGCTATCAAATGTTGGCCCTTCTTTTCTCCCATTTTGTTCTCTTCGTTGTGCCATTACAATCTGAGACCTTATTCATCTATTTACTTGCTCATTTATTATCTGCTTGCCTTAGAATAACAGCACTTTCACGGGAGCCAGGAGGTGTGTGCCTGGCTTACCAGGGCATCCTCAGTACCAAGCAGAGTGCTGCATACTCAGGACAGCTTTGTTGAGTGAGTGAATCAATTTACATCAATCTATGCCACCCCAAAGGCAAAAATCCAATAAATTCTTGACTAATAAGAAAAATTAAAATGTTTTTCTTTGTTGAGCAGCACTGAACATTTGCTTTTCATGGTGATCCAGGGATTTATTATTATTATTATTATTCTTTTTTTTTCTTTTTTTTTTTTTTGAGACGGAGTCTCGCTCTGTCACCCAGGCTGGAGGGCAGTGGCGCGATCTCGGCTCACTGCAAGCTCCGCCTCCCGGGTTCACGCCATTCTCCTGCTTCAGCTTCCCGAGTAGCTGGGACTACAGGCGCCCGCCACCACGCCCTGCTAATTTTTTAAAAATATTTTTAGTAGAGACGGGGTTTCACTGTGTTAGCCAGAATAGTGTCGATCTCTTGACCTCGTAATCCGCCCGCCTCGGCCTCCCAAAGTGCTGGGATTACAGGCATGAGCCACTGCACCCGGCCTATTATTATTATTCTTTTACTCTAAGTTTTGGGGTACATGTGCAGAACATGCATGTTTGTTACATAGGTATACATGTGCAATGGTGGTTTGCTGCACCCATCAACCTGTCATCTACATTAGGTACTTTTTTTTTAGATGGAGTCCACCCGGGCTGGAGTGCAGTGGTGCAACCTTGTCTCATTGCAACTCCGCCTCCTGGGCTCAAGCAATTCTCCTGCCTCAGGCCCCCGAGTAGCTGGAATTACAGGTACCGTACCACCGCACCCAGCTAATTTTTGTACTTTTAGTAGAGATGGGGTTTCACTCTGTTGGCCAGGCTGGTCTTGAACTCCTGGTCTCAAGTGATCCACCTGCCTTGGCCTCCCAAAGTGCTGGGATTACAGGCACGAGCCACCGCGCCCGGCCAGAGATTTCTTTTTGGTAGGGTTACGCCATAAGATAAAGACCAAGTTACGTGTCTGGAAGTCACCCGTCAGGAAAGGGAGAAACAATTGAACAACTCCCACATTTTTAAGTTGTCCTTTTGTCATATTGGTTAATGAAAAATATGTCAACTGTGGGAAGCATATTTTCAGCTTTTCATTACACATCGAACCCAAGTTTTTATAGGACCATGCAGTTCATCAAATATGATCTTGATTTTTTTGAGATCCTACTAAGTAAAAATCTTCACAGTAATGGAATATTTCAACTGAGGTTCCAATACAAAACTTAAGACCCTGTTGGCAATTTGTGGAGTCATATTGGAACCTACTATAATATTCCACTACTGGTGTGAGCCACTGTGCCAGGCCCGGAGACTTAATATTGACAACAATCTTATCAGGCCTTGAGGTTTAAGGGTTAACCTGTGGGGTTAAGATAATTGTCAATATTAAGTCTTTGGGCCGGGCATGGTGGCTCATGCCTGTGGTCTCAGCTACTCAGGCGGCTGAGACAAGAGGATCACTTGAGCCTGGGAGGTAAAGGCTGCAAAAATATGAAACCAACTTAAGTGCCCAAACACCAATGAATGGATAAAGAAAATATGATTTATATACAAGATGGAATACTACTCAGTTATGAAAAAGAACAAAATAATGTCTTTTGCAGCAACTTGGATGGAGCTGGAGGCTATTATTCTAAGTGAGGCAACTCAGGAATGGAAAACCAAATACTGTATGTTCTTACTTATAAGTGAGAGCTAAGCCATGATGACGTGAAGGCATAAGAATGATATAATGGGGGCCAGGCACAGTGGCTCACGCCTGTAATCCCAGCACTTTGGGAGGCCGAGGCGGGTGGATCACCTGAGGTCAGGAGCTCGAGACCAGCCTGACTAACATGGTGAAACCCCGTCTCTACTAAAAATACAAAATTAGCCAGGCGTGGTGTCACAGGCCTGTAATCTCAGCTACTCAGGAGTCTGAGGCAGTAGAATCGCTTGAACCCAGGAGATGGAGGTTGCAGTGAGCTGAGATCGTGCCTTGCACTCCAGCCTGGGAAACAAGAATAAAACTCCGTCTAAAAAAAAAAGAGATATAATGGACTTTGGGGACTCAGCGGGAAGGTTGGGAGGAGGGTGAGGGATAAAAGACACT
The DNA here is from genome assembly GCF_000001405.40 of Homo sapiens. Taxonomy (NCBI): domain Eukaryota; kingdom Metazoa; phylum Chordata; class Mammalia; order Primates; family Hominidae; genus Homo; species Homo sapiens. Next base: position 8,423,966 of record NC_000010.11, read on the forward strand.
ATATTGGGTCTAATGTATACTGCTCTGGTGACGGGTGCCCTAAAATCTCAGAAGGCACCACTAAAGAACTTTTTCATGTAACCTGAAACCACCTGGACCCCCCAAACTATTGAAATATTAAAAATTAAGAAAAAAAGTCTGGGAGCATAGCCCAGAATAAGAATCCAGTAAATGCACCTTGATGAAGTAAAAAGAAAAATAAACTTTGACTCAAAGAAAATTGTCTTCAAATGCGGGCTCTAACACTTCCAAACTATGTGATATTAAGCAAATCACTTAATTTCTCTGATTCTCCTTTTCTATAAAATGGAATAATCCTATGTTACATGTAATTATAGGAATTAAAAAATATGATCTAGGCTAATATGCTTGGTAGATGTTAGGCACTGAAAAGTTATCCAACTGACATTCAAACTGGTTTAAAAGATTTCAAGTATTTTTAGTTATATGTAAGTATTTTCTAAAAATACGAATCCCAAAAGTGTGTAATTCACTTTATGCACTAAGAAACGCTTTTGAGTGGTCTAGGATGTTTTTAGTTGTGAGGTCAAGAATGTTCAATTTAATTGATTGGAACAAGGAGGAGACATTCTCTCATCCAATAGGAAATGCAATGTGGGTGGTTGCAGGCTTGGCTTGATACTGTCCTCAGGGACCCCATGTCTTTCCATCTTTCACTCCACTGAACCCAGTGTGCTTACTTCGTTCTATGGTTCTGTATCTTATGACTTCAAGAGAGCCAGTCTGGTTCTAAAGAACACATCTGCACAGTCTGAGGCAGGCCAGGGAGGCAGACCTCTCCTGGGAAGTTCTATCAGACTTCCGGCCATGTGTCTTTGGCCAGAGTTGGATTACATATCTGGAACCAACACTCTACTAGCAAGGGGGAGTGGAATTACCCTTCATGTCTCAGATTTAACATTTTCTTGCTGGGGAGGGAGGGCCCCACTTTCTATGAGCATATGACCCTCTGATCCTTGAATAAAAATAGTGTTCTGTTAGCCAGGAAGAGAGGAGGGGAGGGGGAGGAAATGGCTGTGGCGTAGGTAACCAACAGTGCTTTCTACACCATCCTCATCTTTTTTGAAGGGAGGAGGGAGTTGGTGGTCATTGCAAAACTCAAAACAAAAGGATGTCATGATGGCTGAAAAGTTGGAAATGACAGTCATGTGGGCTTATAGTTTGGGCATTGACTGTTTTCCTTTTTTTAAGTGTCATTGGTTATAGAGCCAAAATACATAACAAACACATCAAAATTCGAGTATTGGAGAAATGGGTTAATCACTCTTCTTTTTTGTTTTTCATGGTTTTATGAACTAACCTATTTGTGGTATGAATTTGATTGAATAGACAGAAAAATTAGATCTTGATCTAAGGAGGGGAGAAAATTTAATCTAAAGAACAGTAACTAAAGAAGAAGTTGGTACATAGGAAATAAATGTGTTAGAAATCATGACAAGGAGGGTTTAAGATTTTTTTTTTTGGAGTAACTAGAGTGGAAAAAACACAAAGAAAAGTGTCTGTGATGTCTCCTGATACCTGGTGCCATTTTTCTGTAATTTTTTTGCTTTTGTTTTTGAGATGGAGTCTTGCTCTGTTGCCTAGGCTGGAGTGCAGTGGTGCTGGCGCAATCTCAGCTCACCACAACCTCCACTTCCCAGGTTCAAGTTGTTCTCCTGCCTCAACCTCCTGAGTAGCTGGGACTACAGGCACGTGCCACCATGCCCGGCTAATTTTTGTATTTTTAGTAGAGACAGGGTTTCACTATGTTGGGCAGGCTGGTCTCAAACTCCTGACCTCATGATCCACCCACCTTGGCCTCCCAAAGTGCTGGGATTACAGGTGTGAGCCACTGCGCCCAGCTATTTTTCTGTGCTGCTAATAGTAATGTCTGGTTTCTTTTCTTCTTTTTTTCTGAGACAGAATCTCACTCTGTTTTTCAGGCTGTAGTGCAGTGGCACAATCTCTGCTCACTGCAGCTTCTGACTACTAGATTCAAGTGATCCTCCCGCCTCAGCCTCTGGAGTAGCTGGGATTCAAACGTGCACCACCACGCCCAGATAATTTTTGTATTTCTGGTAGAGACAGGGTTTTATCATATTGGCCAGGCTGGTCTCGAACTCCTGACCTCCAGTGATCTGCCCTCCTTGGCCTCCCAAAGTGCTGGAATTACAGGCGTGAGCCACTGTACCCGTCCAGCCTCTGATTTGTTTTAGCACTACTTCGTTTTCTACCTGAAGACTAGCTTGTGTTTTATTTGTTTGATGTTTTTTAATAGTGTTTTAATCATTGCTTATGATCATGCAATGCCCCAAGCGCATTGGCTGGAAAATGGTTTATAAATAAAATTATTGTTATTATTATCTTTATCTCTTGTAACAATACTCATTATATTAAGATTATATCTAGGCTAGAAATAGTTCAACATATGTGATTATATGTAATCGGTGTATTTTGTTTCTGCTTTTTTAAAAACCCTGTTGCTGATATGCAACTTTGTACTTATCACTAAACAAACTATTGTTTAGAAGTTGTAGGAGACTCTGATTTGCTTTGGAGAGTGACTCTTTGCAAGTTTCAACAAGAATTTGCCCCTGGTAGGACTGGGATCCAAAGAAATTCGTTGTTCTCAGTGGACATGTACTGATAACAGCCACAGCAGCACCTGGGGATTTAATTGCCAGAACTTTTCTCTCAAACCCAGAGCCCTAAGAGTTTCCAGAGGAAAAAACTATGTTTAATAGGAAGAACAATTAGAGAAGCCTATTTTACCTTGATAATAGAATAACTTTACAAATATTAAGACTGTCTGAGTATAAGACAGGCTACCCTGTGAGGTTGTGAAGATCCCATTGTTTGCAAGTGTTCTAGAAGATGGCCAAGCCACTGACTTGGGGGTGCTCTGAAGGAAATTCAGATATTCATTGAATTCATCGAATACCAGGGTGGCATTCACTGGCTTCTCTAGTGGCTTCCCTTTCTAAGATTCCATGTTTCTATGTGGGTTGAAGTGTCTGAATACGTCTCTGTGGTTGTGAAATAATATTGAGTATAGGATCATTCACCTAGTGTTCTTCAAGGGTGAAATGCAGTGCACATTCTATTCAATATGTTTTGATATGTTACAAGGAATGTCATGATATATACCAGTCTTAAGGGGTAATGGTTGTCTGGAGGTTGTAGCTCGTTGGATTTGAGGGTTAGAGGTTCAACTTTGGGAGATGGAGGTCACATATCTGATTCTCTATGTGGGTCAACATGTCTCCTTCTTCTTTTTCCATTGAACTGATCTACACAATATAAAATGTTGGCAAGTGGAAAGTTATAGTAATTAAAAGGATTATTACTAAAGCCATGGCTTGCACCCTTCTGCCTGAAGGGTGATTTTGCAAAAGGGTGATATTGGTCTCAAAATGGACCAGATAGGAGCATCAATAGTACAAATGCATTCCTATATCCAAAAAAAAAAAAAAAACAAATCCAGGCAGGCAGGCTGCTGAGAGTTCAGGGTAGGAGGTGGTATATTCAGGGGGACTTGGTGGATATGGGAAATCTGAGGGCAAACACTTTGCTAAACTCTCTGTTTTGGGGCAGAAATGTTAGTGACTTTTGAGAGGATCACAATCAGTAAAAAAAAAACAATGAGAAATGCACTTTTTGCTGTCAATGTTTGAAACTCAGCTCAAGCCCAACCTTTTCCATGAACTCTCCACAGGCTATGACTTTGTAAAGTTGGGTTCTTCTTTGAGTTCAGATAGTCGAAGGAACCTCAATTTTCGTCATAATTATTTATTTTATTACCATTAAACTCTTGCTGTCTTAGAAGTCAGCTAGCTGTAAATACCTTTAAAAAATCGACACCTAATTTTTTGCCATTATTTTTGTAATTGTCAAATTTTAAAGCATATTCTATATGTGTGTTATATTTACATATAAAGATATATATATATATATATATATATATATATATATATATATATATATATATATATATTTAAAGTCAGAGTAATGCCTTCTAGTCTTCTGTATATATATATAAGCTTTAAAACCAGAGCTCTGCAGGGCGTGGTGGCTCATGCCTGTAATCCCAGCACTTTCGGAGGCCGAGGCTGGTGGATCATGAGCTCAGGAGATCGAGACCATCCTGGCTAACATGGTGAAACCTTGCCTCTACTAAAAATACAAAAAATTAGCCAGGCGTGGTGGTACGCACCTGTAATCCCAGCTACTTGGGAGGCTGAGGCAGGGGAATTGCTTGAACCCTGGGGGTGGAGGTTGCAGTGAGCCGAGATTGTGCCACTGCACTCCAGCCTGGGTGACAGAGTGAGACTCGGTCTCCAAAAAAAAAAAAAAAAAAAACACAGAGCTCTTGTATTTGAGGTCGCTCACTCCTGTGAAATACGGGCTGTTAAAATGGACACATTCCCGAGGTTCTGATCTCTCGCGACATCCATCCTCCTTGGAAAGATGTTAGTGTTGTCTGGGAGAGTCCTCAGAAGGCTCACAGCAGACTACATGTCCATCTTTTCTTATGGGTTTTCCTTTCTTAAGTCTAGCTGAGAGGTACCAGCCACCTAGTGCGGCTACTCCAAGTGTTTGGTTGTAAACAGGCTGTCGTTCCCATTGTCCAGCCAAGCATAAGTATGCAAACAAGAAACAAGTTTGTGCCAGGCACAGTAAGTTCTTATTTTTCTCCCGCCTGATAGATGGGGAAACATGAGTCATGGGGAAACAAACAAACAAACAAACAAACAAACAAACAAACACCTCACTTTTCATTCATGCAACACCATTGCATGGATCCCAGGACTTCCTGTATTTGGCTTCTAGTCATTTGCTTACCTACTGAGTGTCCAGGCAGAGGCATCTCCCCTGCAGGGGTCCTGCCTTGCATCTGAGCAGCCCAGCTTGGCTCTACCTGGTCAGGGGCTTTTCCAAGGGAAGCGAACAGCTTTGTTTCACTTGACGGAAGGCTCTATTTCCTGCAGAGTTCTTGCATCTACCTGTGTAGCCCAGTTATAGGGTCTAGGCTTAGCAATACCAGGAGTGAAGAGTTAGCTGCAAACCTCTCAATGCTGTTCTAGCTCGATGTTCAGTAACTATGTTCAATAAGTTTGCTGGGCCATAGAAAATTCTTTTACTCAATGGATTTTCTTACTTTAATCTCATGTTAAGTTTTGAGTTTTTTTCATATTTCACATTCAGAGGATTTAAAGTTTCATTTTTATTTTTGAGCCAAATTAAGCTAAAAAGAGGGTCTGCGTGCCTACTTTGAAAAGAGCCTCCTTTTGTCACCTAATTTTCTGTTTCGTTCTAGCATAATTAGAAATCTTTGATTTGTGAAGGACTGCTTACGTTGATGTAACCCAAGTTTGATAAGTTCCTTTTCTGAATATCGTCTTGGAACTCTCACTTTGTTTTCAGGAAGAGTTGGGTCAATCTAATTTCTCAGTGGCCTTCTAGTGGCTTTGAAGAAGAATCCCATTTATTGAATTTGAAAATTAAAAATAATGCTGATAGGCATTCCCTGGTTTAATGTTCCCCCCGAAGCAAATTAATCAGTAGTTATTAAACTTGTTACTTGTAATTAAACTTATAATTACCTTAAAATGGTTACATATAACATAAATATTAACTTGGTAATTTTAATATTTAGCTAAATGTGTGCTTTATTCATTTTCTTGCTAGTTTTCTAATATTGTATTTTAATTTTTTCACGAGTGTGTTCCTCTTTCTATTTTGATGCTGATGTTTCTTATATTTCTTTGAATTCCCTCTTGTAGGAAGCTCAGGGCCAGCCACGTGGGACACCCAATGTGTTCGTCACTGGGCTTATTGAGGAAAGTATTAATATCTACATTAGCGAGTTGGGCGATATTTTCAGAATCTTTGTTTTCTGTCAGGGGTTGTTATTTGTGCATCTTTTTGTTTGAACAGCTAAGAAGGTCCTGATATGCAGGGTAGGATGACAGAAACAGAGTAGTTTAAACACTGGGACATTCTCCTGTGGAGTTTTTAAAACTTCCAAAAAAAATCTTTTTATAGGAAAAAGTAGAAACTTTAATTTTCATTCCACCCTCTAGGATCAGGTTTATCAACCTTGGCCATATCGCCACTTGGGGAGATAATTTCCCATTGTGGAGGGCTGTCTGTGCACTGTAGGCATTTAGTCCATTTAGTAGCATCCCTAGACTCTATCCACTAGATGACAATAGCTGTTGTAACAACAAAAAATGTCTCCAGACATTGCCAAGTGTCCCCTGGTGGGGGGGCAAAGTCACTCCACTTGAGAATCACCATTCTAGAGCTCTATCTACACTGGAGTCTTTTTTTTTTTTTTTTTTTTTTTTTTTTTGAGGCAGTGTCTCATTCTGTCACCCAGCCTGGAGTGCAGTGGTGCAATCTTGGCTTACTGCAACCTCTGCCTCCAGGGTTCAAGAGAACCTCCTACTTCAGCCTCCAGAGTAGCTGAGACTACAGGCATGTACCACCATACTTTGCTAATTTTTAAAATTTTTTGGTAGAGACAAGGTCTCCCAATATTGACCTGGCTGGTCTCTTGGGCTCCAGCTATTCTCCTACCTCGACCTTCCAACGTGCTGAGATTACAGAAGTGAGGTCAGCTATGCTGGAATCGTTTTGATGTAAACAGCCAACTATCTGACTGCTTTCTACAGTTCTGTAGACAGAGCCTTTCCCTAACCAAAGAATGGGAAGGATCTCCTGCTGCTGGGAGGAGACCTGGGGGCTGGAAGCATCCAGCCAGCTGCTTTTCTTTTTTTCCAGATTTTGTATTTCAGGAAATGGCCTCAGTGGCCCTGTAGAAAACATAGAGATTCCTGCTGTCTGGATTAAATCTTTCTGGCTGTTGAAGGAAGCACTTCCAGGCTATCTGGATCCTAATCATGGGGTAGAACTGAGTGAAATGTAGCTGTGTCTCCTCTTCCCACCTCCCTCTGTTAAGGACTCAGTGCTGAGCACTGAGACTTGCTTGGGAAAGTGACTTCCCAGGGCTTCTGTTGGCTGCAGAAGCTCCCATTTCTGTTTAAATAGGCTACTTTCTCTACAGCCAACCCTGGGTTTTTGGTCTAGGGACTCTTTTATGGGAAGACATTTTGGAATCCTTTTGCTTTGTCTTGGAAGTATGGAAGAAGAACCAATGGATCAAACATCAAAGCAATCAAGAGCACTTGGATATTCTAGAGTTCCTTTCTCTCTGCCTGCCAAATTCTACTTTGTTTTTTTCCTCTCTGTCTGCGCAATTCTATGCTGTTGAGGTGACCATTGAACTCTAGGTGGGATGAAACCACCCTATGCACAGGACACCAGGACACATCACTTCTCTGTGGCCATGTCCCATGAGCCCCTGAATGGGGATGGGGTAGGGAAGGAAGCATTAAGTGTTCAGCTGCAGTTGTGAAGGGAACTGTCAATCCAGGGCACGAGTTGCTGAAGCCTCCCATTGACCCAGATATTCTGCTATCTTGAAAGCTTTATCTTCTAAGACAATGTTGACTAACAGCTTTTCTTTTATTCACATTTCTGTTTCAAAAGAATAACAAATAAGCTTAATTCTTCACAAAATCTTCAGCAAATGCCTTTTAATCCAGCACAATGGTAGTTATTTTAAGAAGGCTGGCAAAGAACCACAGGGCTTTTCTATTTTTCAGTCTGGGGTTCTTTGCTCATACAGAAGCACTCAATCACTTTTAATCTTGGCTTGCACCAAGCCACATCAACTTTGTTTGCACAGAACTGATATAACTGCCTTAAGCTCTTCTGGTCTGTTTTTCATCTCCCCATTGAGCCTTAAAATTTAAATAACAGGTTAAACACACACACACACACACACACACACACACACACAGATTCTTAGATACCATGTATCTTTGCTCACTGTAATTTCTGGGATTTGATTCCACACCCAAGCTACGTTTGTGGAAGGAAGAGAATTGGTAAGCACCACGTATAAATGGAGAGAAGGAGCTCAAGGAAGCACCTGATGAATGAATGAAGTAGCTCTCAGAGGAGGACAGCCTTCAGGGGCCTGGAAAGACAAACCATTAAAGTCTTCCTTGGCCAGCAGAGGTGTGGGGAATCTCTGTTCTCTAGAGATAAGAACAACCTCGAGGTTTTCATCTATGTTACCAAAATGAGAGGTCCTCTGTGGATTTCAGGTCAGGCTTCCTTGGGTTATTATCTGGCATAGATGACCACAACTTTGAAATCAGCTCTTCAGGCTAGGCACAGTGGCTTATGCCTGTAATCCCAGGGCTTTGGGAGGCTGAGCCCAGGAGTTTGCGACCAACAGGGCTAACACAATAAGACCTTATCTCTACAAAAAAAAAAAAAAAAAAAAAAATTAGCTGAGTGTGGTGGTGCATGCCTGTAGTCCCAGCTATTCAGGAGGCTGAGGTGGAAGAATCACTTGAGCCCAGGAGTTTGAGGCTGCAGTGAGCTCTGATTGCATCACTGCCCTGAAGCCTGGGCAACAGAGTGAGACCCTGTCTCTTAAATAAATAAATAAATAAATAAATAAATAAATAAAATTTTAAAAAATGAAACCAGCTCTTCAATGCTCCTGTAGCCCTGAGTTTATTCTGCTCACCTCCCAGCCTCACCCCATTTCTTTTAAATAAACTTTCTGTTTTGAAAACATTTTAAAGTTGAAAAGAGAATACAGACTCCTGGTACACTCCACCCGGTTTCTCTAGTGTTAATGTCTTACCTTACCTTCAAGCTCCCACCCCATTTAAAAAGTTCCTTTTTCTTTTCCTTCTGATGAAACCATAGAATTGCCTTGCTGATAGCAGTAATACTTAGGATAAAGAAGATGCTGAGTATTTTGCCAGTGGTTAACAATCTTTAGCTGGAGTTTGTTCCATTCTTTAAGAAATAAAACTTTGTATTTAAATTTATTCTTAAATTGAGATGTGCAAGAGGGAGATGACTTTCTTCATGACATGTGTAAGTGGGGATTAGGCCAAACCAAAGTCACTTCTCCTACTTCAGTTTTAGGGCAATCTTTGTGGATCAGGCCATCTCCACAATCTGAAAATTTTAGCAGTTTTCTTTGGTGTGAACCCTGCCAGTTTATATCAGGTTGCCTTATGTGCGTGGTTAAGAATAATATATCACTGGATGGAACTAATTGAGCTCTTTTCCACACAATGATTTGAAAGATGTGTTAGACAAAGAAGCAGTCAGAGGTGAGTAAGGCTTTTAGTAATGTCTAGTACACAGCAGTTATAAATAATGCTGCTTTGGCCAGGCGCGGTGGCTCACGCCGGTAATCCCAGCACTTAGGGAGGCCGAGGTAGGTGGATCTCCTGAGGTCAGGAGTTTGAGACCAGCCTGGCCAACATGGTGAAACCCCATCTCTACTAATTTATAGATATAGATATATAAAGGTGGGCATGGTGTTGGGTGCCTGTAATCCCAGAACTTTGGGAGGCTGAGGTGGGCGGATCACCTGAGCTCAGGAGTTCGAGACCAGCCTGGCCAACATGGTGAAACCCCATCTCTACTAAAAAAATACAAAAATTAGCCTGGCGTGGTGGCACACACATGTAATCCTTGGGGGGCTGAGGGAGGAGAATCGCTTGAACCTGGGAGACAGAGGTTGCAGTGAGCTGAGATCCCACCACTGCACTCCAGCCTGGGAGACAAGAGTGAAATTCTGTCTTAAAAAAAAAAAAAAAAAAAAAAGGAAGAAAGAAAAGAAAAAAACCCTGCTTTATCAAGATCTCTTTTTGGATTTGGAAGTATAAATGCATGAAGCCTCCAGAAGACCTTGAATCTGCAGGTTGAAATGAACCTGTAGATTTGATTTCCTAACAAAATCAAGTGACTAAAAAGAATTAGAAAAGAGCAAACTGGAAAAGGCCTCTCTGCTATGGATAGACTCCAAGCAGACCACTCATTCATTTTTGTCTTCTTGAAGTAGCAGAAATAAGGACTCAGAAGATAGATGGCCATCCTAGAGGAACTGCCCTCTTTCACCAAATTGTAATGCTTTTTAGGACAACGACAGAGAGGTGCTCAGGAAGAATCTGAGTCATGAACGTGTTCAATTTCCATCTGACTCCACTCTCTATTTCAGATTGAGGTTCTGCACGTCAGAGAAGCTCATGGGGAATTGGTTGCTTTTGCACACTTTTGTGGGAGCCCGGCCTCTCCCCTTTCTCTCCTCCTCTTCTGTCCTTCCACTCCTCTCCCCACCCTCTGAAGATCTTATTGATTTTCCACCTTATTTCATCTAGGGAAAATCTCTAGATGAAATAAGATAAGAGTGCTAAGAAGGAAAGATGGAATTATGTATATCCGGCGGACACAGATTTTCTCCATAACCCTTTGACTGCAGTTAATAAAATGATTGTTTCTTCTAATCTTAGGTAGGAGCCTTGAATCAATAGAAACAGTGTACAGAAACTAATGTGATCTCTTGGCATAAACCTTATCATACTCCAAGAAAATAGTGGAACCAGTGTACTATAGAAATTTGCACTTTTCAAAGAAAAACAAAACAGAAAACTTAGCTTATAATTCTTTTCAAGGAGCTCTTATTGAGGAATAAATTTTGATGGAATTGCTTCATTTCACGTTGTATAATCATCATACAGTTTTGTTTTCTTTTTGACAGAATCTTCCTCTGTTTCCCAGGCTGGTGTGCAGTGGTGTGATCCCAGCTCACTGCAGCCTCTGACCCCCTGGGCTCAAGCAATCCTCTCACCTCAGCCTCCAGAGTAGCTGGGACTATAGACGTGCACCACCACATTTGGCTGTTTTTGGTTTGTTTTTTAAATTTTTTGTAGAGACGAGGTCTCACTATATTGCCTAGTCTGGTCTCAAACTCCCTGGCTGAAGTGACCCTGCAACCTTAGCCTCCCAAAGTGCTGGGATTACAGATGCAAGTCACCACACCCAGTCCACAGAGATCTTATGTTATATGTAAATTCATGCAGAAACAGAAGTTGGTATAACAGCTAAATTTTGTTCAATACAAAATCAAATAGAGTTGGACATTGACTTATGAATTAGGGCGGTAAACTGAAATGGATAATTTAATTTCTAAAGTGGATTTTTATCCCAAAGCATCCGATTGGTCTTTACCCAGGTGAAACTGATCTCTCCCAGCTCTCCATTTTGGCTTCTGCCATGTAAACTGAAGGCCATAAACGAATGCTAGCTCTCTATTTTAGATTTTCACGGTATTCTCCAATGCCTCTCTTGTCTAAGCCTTCTGTAACCTGTGTTTCCAGCTGTTGCTGTGCCGCACTTCATCCTCTGACCATTAGGAAATCGGTACAGGCCATTTCTTCAGCTTGTTGCGGTGTTCCTCACACTGCAGTTTGAATACTGGTGTTACTGGTTAGCCTGGAATCAGGTTCAAGTGTTGTAACAGTCATGAAGACTCACGTCCTGGCTTGTTAGGTGGTGGGTAGTGGGGTTGCTTAAGACAGCACTTCAGTTCAAAGTGAAGGCAAGAGGGAGTGGAGATTGGAGACTGTAGATCACAGAAATGCCAGAGCTCCTCAACTTGCAGGCACACGAATAGTCGGCAGAACTCACCAATGTGTGTGCAGGGAAAATGCAGCCAGCAGAGCAATTGGGGGAAGCCATCCAACTAATAAGAGGCTTATAACTCTTTGGCAATTTGTTTAACTTGGGAGTTATTGCAAAGTCAGAAAGGTATTGGGCCCCCGGGAAACTGGCAACGTTGCTTGGTGTCTCCCACGGTTAAAAGCAAGCTTTGCCAATGGGATTTTTTTTTCCTTCAGGTGTTCAGTGTTGAGTTTTGCAGGCAAGGCCAAGCTTCTGGAAAAAGCAACATTAATCACATTGGCATGTTAGGTTAATGGGGCTGATGGCTGCCCAAACTCCTCTACTTAAACAGGAACTACTGAGATCTTCAAAGCTAGATGATCTGACTCACTCATTCATCTATCCATCCAACCAATGCTTACTGAGGTCCTGCCATGTGTCAGCAGTCACACCAAACATCAGAGGACAGACCCAGCTAAGGTCTCTCTTCCCTGTTCTCTCACCGCACATCCCAGCATTGCTACATTCTGTGTCCTGGTGGCCTTTGTTTAACTCTTGCCTCTGGAGTTCTGTTTTGAAAGTAAGGTAGGGGTAAAAGTCTCACAAGGGTCAAGGGGTTGAAAGTGTTTGTGGTTTATCTACTTATTCATTTAGAACATATTCATTCAGTACCTATTATAAGCAATGTGCCCCAGAAATAGGTGATTTGGGCAGAGTTTTTATAGAGGAACTTTTGCCTATCCATATTTCCTATAAGAAACCTTAAACTAAATTTCCTGGAACTTACAGGGATAACAATTGATTATTATGCAGCTACTGAAGTCCAGGAGAAACATGAATTTGTAAGATGCATACTTTAGAGGAAAGAAAACATTTCAGAAAACTCCCTCTTTCTGCCTATGGATCCAAGAGACTGGATGGAAGGAAATGACTCTGGCTTGGAAGGGGACCTCAGGAACCGAACACACATTCTCCAAACTCCCTATTCTTCCCTTTTCCACCATATCCAACCACTAGGGAGGTTCTAGGGATTCTACCCCATGACCTGGTTTTTTTTCATATATCCCTGCTTTCCTCTCCATTTTTTGACTCCTATTGCCTCAGTGCAGAAGTGTTTATTGCTCTTGCATATCTCTCATTACTATAACACGTAGGTCAAAGATTTCCTTATCTCTAGTCTTTTCCTGCTCCAAGCCATTTTCCAAAATGCTGCCAGATTTATCTGCTGTATTCTACTATTCCTGTCCTTCAAAACACTATTTTACAGGGCCTTTTGAGCGAGGCATTCATTTCCCAGCAGCACATCAAATAAACAAGCATGATTGTTAAGAGTGTGGACCCTGGGATCAGGAGCATCTTGTTAAAATCTCAGTTTGGCCCATGAAACCTCAGTTTGCTCATCTGAAAAATGGGGGTGATACCCATATCACAGGTGGCAGTGAAGGGTGAGGAAGGACATTTGAAATTCCTGGCACACTCAATAGGCACTCAGTAAGTAATATTAATAAAAATGTTAATTATTATTATTATATTCTATAGCTCCACTCTAATTCTGCTTACAATCTCCTAAAGTGTCTCTATCTTTCCGCTTTTGCTCAAGTAGTTTGCTCTGTGTAGAATGTTCTTCCTTTCTTCCTGTTATCTCTCTGCCCTTTGATAACCTCCAGTTGGGCATGTCCTGAAGCCTTCTTTGGTTCCTGTAGAAGACAAACATTTTCCTTCCTTTAATTAACTCCTTGCCTGCACCTCCTTTTGTACTCTATATTGGGCCTTGATTTGTACCCTGGGTTTCCCTAATTCTTCCTGTACCATATCCTAATTCTTCGTCAGGCTGTGGGCTTCTCAATGGCAGAGATTGCATATTAACTTGTCTTTTTTTTTTTTTTTTTTTTTTTTTGAGACGGAGTCTTGCTTTGTTGCCCAGGTTGGAGTGCAGTGGTGCGATCTTGGCTCACTGCAACCTCCGCCTCCTGGGTTCAAGCAGTTCTCCCTCCTCAGCCTCTCCAGTAGCTGGGATTACAGGTGCATGCCACCACACTCGGCTAATTTTTGTATTTTTAGTAGAGACAGGGTTTCACCATGTTGGTCAGGCTGGCCTCAAACTCCTGGCCTCAAAGTGATCTGTCTGACTCGGCTTCCTGAAGTGCTGGGATTAAAGTGTGACCCACTATGCCCGGCCATTAACTTGTCTTCTTCTACTAGCCCACAGAGTCTTGCAATAGAGTATTTTTTGAATTGATTTTTTCACTCATCAAAAGGGTGACATGAATCCTGGTGGCTTGGGAGGACTGGGTAGAAGAGCACCCCGTCCTTGGGGCTCTGCCTAGCAGCCTGGCTCTCTGAGCAGAGGCCAGTATCTGTAGCTATCCAATTCCACGAACCACCAGTCCCCTCCAAGACTGCCCAACTCTGAACATTCTGGTTTTCAGGATTTCTTGGATTTATCTGCACACTTACTGAATTTCAGAGCCGTAAGGCTGGGAGAGACATAGGAATTTTTCACTTTGGCCTCTTCATTCCTTAGATGAGAAAAACAGAGGCTGTACTGGGGTGTCACCTTCTTTGAGAAACATGCCCTAAAGCTCATCCAGGATGGAATGAATCATTCGGTTCCATTAGTGCATCTAGCACATTGTGTGTACTTCTGTTGAGGTATGGCTCACTCAGTTTTGCAGTTGTTTTTTTACACGACTGTCTCTAACAGTAAATTATAAGCTCTCTGCAGGCAAGGCTAGGGTTCATTTGTCTTTATGTCTCTGGTGCTCAAGAAAATGCCCAGGACACAGGAAATGCTCAATAAATATTGACTAAATGGAATGGACTCTAAGGAGGTTAAGTGACTGAGTTAGTGCTTTGCCTCTTCTGATTCCCAGGGCCATGATGTTTTCAAGATACCAGGCTGGTTTGCCTTATAAAATTTCTACAATCCTCATTCTAGAGGTCTAAGAAAATGCTAGTTGATATTTGATCATTAAAAGATTCAATGTTGGCTCTTGAAAGCATTAAAAAAATCTTTGTGCAGGAGAAATCACTTACCTCTGGCAGAAAAAAAAGATCAAGAAGAAAAGTGATTACATTGATTACATTGGTAGGTAGCAAAAGCCACATGAAACGTATACAGGTGTACCAACAGTTTTTCCTTGTTAAATATCAGCTCTGTGGTATGACAGAAGTGAGGGGAACCGGGTTCCTTTGCTGTGTCCTGAAGGTAGTGGTTAGAGTCACTTGCAGGGTTAATAAAGGCTGTTGAAATTGAGCTTCCGTTGGTGGTTAACCCTCTGCCTTCTTCAGGTTCCTGTGAGATACCTGACTGGCACTTCCCTTTCCAGATAAAAGACCTTGGGGGAAGTTGGTGAGGTAGTTACCAGGGGCTACTAGGTGCTACCAACCTGTTGAAGCTCAGTGATGTTGGATAGGGTGTGTACACTCTGGGACACACAGATGAGTTGAAAAAGAACAAAATTCACTGTAAGTGGGTCTTGCAGTCTTGTACACTTCAGAACTCAATTATGCACATGACTATGGCCTGCCCCTGCATATGAAATGCTGCAGATGTAACCAATGTAGGAATTCATGCCAATCAGGGTAAGGAACAGTAAATGAAGCAGATGGGAAGATGAGCTCAGGCTTCCAGGTGGTGTACTGCCTGTGTGAGTGAGCCACTGCATTTTTTCCTAGGTATTGACATTTCAGAAGTGGTTGACATCCTTGGTATCCAATGCTCCCTCCCAAACCCCATGGGCCAGGCCACTTTGGGGCCACGTAATTGCCAGAGGCCATCAAGTCATGGAAAAGAATTCTGTTTGCCTGTCTGCTCAAGTGTTGCCAAAGGACATTCTGAAAATTCTCAAATGCCTCAAATGGGACTAAATGACTTGTAGAAACCCCTGCCTGTCTTAGGGTACAATAGATTTGGAAGTGAGAAAGACCTAGATTTGCATAACTGCTCCTTTCTTTCCATATAAAGGACTGGGGAGAGATTAGTGAGTAGTTACCAGGGGGCTAACTGGGGAGAGAAACTCTCTGAAACTTTCCTGTCTCTAAGATAGGATCAGCAGTCACTGCGCAGTTATGAACAGTACTTTATATAATGTATTAGGGTTTTCCAGAGTAGCAGAAGCAACAGATGTGTTGTGTATCTGTGTGTGTGTGTGGTGTGTGTATTTACACACATATGTAAAGAGATTGATTTTGGGCTAGGTGCGGTGGCTCACACCTATAATCCCAGCACTTTGGGAGGCTGAGGTGGGTGAATCACGAGGTCAGGAGTTGGAGACCAGCCTAGCTAACACGGTAAAACCCCATCTCTACTAAAAACACAAAAAATTAGCTGGGTGTAGTGGCAGCAGCCCGTAATCCCAGCTACTCAGGAGAATCGCTTGAACCCAGGAGGCGGAGATTGCAGTGAGCCAAGATCATGCCACTGCACTCCAGCATGAGTGACAGAGTGAGACTCGGTCTCAAAAATAAATAAAAAAAAATAAAAATAAAAAGATTGATTTTAAGGAATTGGCTTATACAATTGTGGGTGTTGGCAAGTCTGAAACCTGCAGGGCAGGCCATCAGGCTGGAAGAGGACACTCAACTAAGGGTTTTCATGTTGCCCTCTGGAGGCAGAACTTCTTCTTTTGGGGGAAACTCAATATTTAGTCTTAAGACCTTCAAGTGATTGGACAAAGCCTGAGGACAACCTGCTTTACTCAAAGTCCACCGATGGAGATGTTCATCACATCTGAAAAACACCTTCACAGCAACAGCTAAGCTGGTATTTGACCAAACAACTAGGCATTATAGCCTAGCCAGGCTGACCCATAAAACGACGGTGACTTACACAGAGCGGACCCCAGAGAACTCTCACCCCCTCTGACTCTGTCCTTATCATGTTCTTCCCCTCTGCCCCTCCTGGGACCTCTCCTTTGGTCTCCCTCTCCGTCTCCTTATTCTAATATTTTAGGTTCATTCCCTGAGTTGTGTCACTTCTTTACTCTTCTGATTTTCTGCCCCTCTATCATGCATTTTCTTTCCAGCTGCCTCCTTCCCACCCCACTCCTCACTACACTAAGGTACCCTCTGCATCCTTTAGAAAACACCATCATAACCATTTTTCTGTTCTCGCTCAGTAGAAGATCAGGAGCTCAGTTCAATATGGAGAGATGTATGTTCAGCTCCATTCTTTGTTATCCTCTTATTTTATTGTTGGACGTGAATGAAAGTGATCACAATAATACAAACCAACTCCCTTTAGCTTCCCACCACCCTTCCTTCTCTGACCGGGAGCTCAGTGTTGTTCTGGGAACTCCAAGGACTTGTGTGCGGTTTCATGTTGGGAAGAGTCACCTCTTCAGGAGTGAATGAACTCTCCAGTCTCCTAGGGAGCCCCAACCCTGAGGAAGACCTTCAGCTGGCTGCTGTCCTGCATGGCCTGCCGTGGGGTGAGGACCAGGGTAGCTGTGCTGTGGGTAGATGACACTGCACACAGAGGCAGCCCACCTGCCCAAACCCATGGCATCCTTCATGGTCACGGGGTATCCGGTGCCTGCAGATCCTGTGTGTTCTCCAAAGAATGCAGCTACCAGGTACTCCATTTACTTTTACAAGGGATTTTCCTTTTAGAGATTCAAGTGCTCCTAATCTAATTGTACATTTAAGAAAACCTAATGCTAAAAGAATAAGGAAAGGCATCTTGAAGGCAGATCATGAGAGCAGTTGTCCCAGAGCCGGGTTTCACTAGAAAAGTCTCTGAGCCTAAGGAGGACATTTTCAGATGAGGAATCTGAGAATAACAAGCTCACAGTCAAACAGGGCACAGACTAATACTATGTCTCCTGATTTTTTCTTTCCCCCATAATCTCAGTCTTTCTCCAACTGAGAGACGGAACACTGAAGTGCCCTGTAGCCAGCTAAGAATTCCACTGGTAAGTCCCTGGTGCTCATTACCCTGGGCGCAGACATGCATGAAAACTCCAAGCCATTCTTTTAAGAGAGGGACTGTGTCATCTGGCTGCTTTTGAAGGACTCTATTTTCTATCCCCAGAAGCACCACTACTCCTCAGAATATTATCTTCTTAATGCCAGAGTTTCGAGGGCAAGGATATCCATCCATCTTATTAAATCAGAAATAGCCTCACCCAATTTTCTAGCACAGAATGGAACAGTCATCAGTTAAAAAAATAACTTTTAATAAGCTCCATTGTTAGGATCCTGTTTTCCCAGAACAGGGAAAACAGGATTTCATTTTTTTTTTGTAACCCTTCCTCTCTAGGCATTTCTGCATTGAAAATGTCAGGGCCATAGTAATTTTCTCCAGAGACTACATTTTCATTTTCTAACCTCTTCCTCTGTTCTTAGACCGCCATGCACAGCTATCAGCATCTGCTTGGGTTGCTAAGCTAATATTTTACCTGCAACCAATATCCCATCTCACTCTCCTTACTAAAAATAATTCCCTGAAAATCTAATAAAAATGATTGAAAAACCTCCAGCACATTATTTTTGGTCAAGTTCCTTCAGACCTTTTGCTTGATTTCACCTAGGCTCAAGTAAAAAATAGGTTGACAAGGTTATTTTTTAATCAAATCTATAAAATTTCTACCTGTGCAGTCCCGAATATTTGTTTCTCCAGGAACCCTAGATTTAATTTCGTTTTAAAGGACTACATAGGCTAATTTCTTTAAATTATAACTTTTTTTTGCTATAAACACCAAATTATGACTCTACCTGCCCTTCCCACTAAGATCATGAACTCAGTGTGCAGAGATTATGTTCAGTTCAATTTTTTTGTCGTACTCTTATTTCATTATTGGAAATGAATTAAAGTTATTTCAACAATACAGATCAGCTACACTGATGTTAGTCCCAAGGACATTGCTTACCAAGTACTAGGTAATAGGTGTCAAGATTTTATATCTGTTATTTACATTCTGTTTTTTTTTGAAATGGAGTCTCACTCTCTTGCCCAGGCTGGAGGGCAGTGGTGCAATCCTGGCTCACTGCAGCCTCTACCTCCCGGGTTCAAGCGATTCTTGTCCCTCAGCCTCCTGAGTAGCTGATACTACAGGCACACACCACCACGCCCGACTAATTTTTGTATTCTTAGTAGAGACGGGGTTTCACCATGTTGGCCAGGCTGGTCTCGAACTCCTGGCCTCAAGTGATCTGCCTGCCTTGGCCTCCCAAAGTGCTGGGATTACAGGAGTCAGCCACCACACCCTGCCAAAAAACGTATTCTTCACAGTGATTACCACACAACTCTAGTCTCTTTTCAACATGTTTGGTCCAAAGACACTGTTTTCTATGGATATTCCCTGGAGATCTCTTAGATGCCTACAGCTGTGGGAGAGGAAATTTGTTTAAATCAGTTCCTTTAGTGATGGAAGAATACGATCATATTGATCTAGCCTAACTCTGCCATTTCACAGGTAAGATGGAGTTTCATAGTGTGAATGCATAGAGCCATGTTACATTAACAGACATGTTTAAAACAGGAGAATATTTAGAAGGAGGCAATTCAACTGGTGAATGATTGAAAAATCTTGTCATAGAAGAAGTGGTTGAAGGAATTCAGCCTGGGAAAAAGAAAGACATGTGGATATCATTTTAAAATATTTACATGTGCTCATATTTTTAAAAAAAGATTAAATTTATTTGACGAAGCTGTGTAGAAAAAGGTGATCAAAGTTGTTAGAGGCTGTGCACGGTGGCTCACGCACCAGCACTTTAGGAGGCTGAGGCTGGTGGATTGTTTGAGCCCAGAAGTTCGAGACCAGCTTGGACAACACGGGGAAAACCCATGTTTACAAAAAGTACAGAAGTTAGCCGGGCATAGTGGTGTGCACGTGTAGTCCCAGCTACTTGGGAGACTGAGGCAGGAGGATTGCTCGAGCCCAGGAGCTTGAAGCTGCAGTGAGCTGTGATCATGCCCTGTGCTGCAGCCTGGGTGACAGAATGAGAGACCCTATCTCGAAAAAAAAAAAAAAAGTTGTAAGGAGACTGAATTCCTTTCACATCAGAAAGGAGGCGTTTTGAAGTTTAAAGGCAGTGAACTTTTTGGTTAGGTAATGCTTGCTAGAAATGTTTAAGAATGGCTTGTTCCAGAGTGGAATCTTAGGTCGGGTAAAGAATTGGGCTCTGAAGTCCCTTTAAATGTTACAATTCTATGATCCCAGTAGCGCCACAGGATAGATGGTATTTACTTTGGTCCACACACTAAGAAAGATTACAATGGTCATGATGCCCAAGGAGTCAGCTCATCAGGTCACCATGAAGGTAGCTCTGATTTGATTAATCCAATAGCTGATTTAAATGTGTCTGAAACTTGGGCTACAGATAGAGCACAGCTTTTATTTCCAATGACTCTGCATGTTAGTTTTGCTTACAGTATATACTCAGAAGTTTTTATGTGAATTATGTACAATTTAAATATGGAAAGGGTGGGAGAAATGTCTCATATTTATCTTGTATCCTTTTCTAGAACCAAGTAGTATTCTGGGCACAAAATAGATACCTAACAAGTGTTGGTCAATTTATACTTGTTGACTATTGATTATTGATTGATACTTATTGTTGGTTGGAACCTCAAAGACAGTGGCTAAGCACATAGGACTGTGGCACTAGCACATCCTAATGAGCTTGTTTATGTACCTGCCTCTCTGCTTTAAATGGATGCCTTTTCCCAGTTTAGTAGAGATCGTATTCTTATTTCTTCTAGCATCAGAAAGCTTCCTCCTTGCTCTCAGGCACATTGGGTTTTCACAGGCATTCTTAGTGTCCAACTCAGGAAAGATGCTCATTACAGTTCAGGAATGAATATGCATAAGAAGGACTTTATTGTCTCCTGGATCAAGTTTATTCAAGTCTATACTTCACATAGGGCTTGTGAGACTGTGAGAGGGGATGCTGGAGGAATGGGACTACAAATAAGTGTTTTTGGATCTCAGTCCCTGAAAGCAGGCTTCAGAGGGCAACTTTCTGATGCTGATGACTTCCTAGGATGGTAACACCTGTATTTTCACAGCAGAGAAAACATAGCAAACTCAAATTTGGTTAATGGGATACAATCAGGGCATCTTCAGCTTTCAAAACCAAGTATAACCCTGGAAACACAATTTTACTTGTCCTATTAATCATTCTCAATTCTCCTCTGGCTGCGGGCATCTCTAGTGCTGGGAAGTGAGACCATCTTGGCTGCTCTCTGCACAGCAATCGTTGCACCAAAAGGCAATGATTTTTAATTCTCCCTTAGCACAGTTTAGCACTGGCTGGTAGAAGCAGGCAGCCTTTTGCCGAGGGTGACGCTGTGCTGGTAGGCGGTGCAGCTGCTGCCCCCCTAAGGAACAGAGCAGGAGAGAGCTTAGCACAGGTCCGCAGCTATCCTGCTAAAGCTGTATATGAGGGGTGGTGGATCACCAAGGTCAGTTAAGATCTTTCTCTCTCTCTCTCGATCTGAGGTTTTACAAAAGATACATCTAACAATTGTGAAAAACTAAATAGCCTGAATGCACCTCAATACATCAGTTCTCAAAATACCTTGCAAAGGTATCTTTTATGATGCCTGTCATTATCATAATCACCACCCTTCTTATTTTTAAAATTCTTTTTTAAAATTTGACCACCATTATTATTAAGTGTTAATATAATGACAATAATATTAAGGAACTGTTGACAAGCACTGAAGCCACATTTAACTGGCCTCGTTTTGTTATAATTAAATGGATTCCCTAAGGGGCAATTGAGGAATAGCATGTCCCCGGATGATCTTGTCTGTCCCCAAAATAGGCATTTTGGTAAATTAATTTACAGAGTGGTTATTTGAGCCAAAATTTGAGACAGATCACTTGTTGGGCTGACTACATATTTGCTTTTGCTCCCAGTAGGGTTGATATTAGGTAGATGTAATGTAAAACTCAAGTTGGGGCTTCTTAATGTGGTAAAAATTACAGTGATTCAGCCTTTATGCTACTTTCAATTTGCCAGCCATATTTTATGGGCATACTAGTGGAATACACCCTGTTGGCTGTAGGTTAAAAGCATATTTTATTAATTAGAGCCCTATAATAAATAAATCACTAGTTTTTATCGCATGTGAGTCCACTCTTGATTCAGAAAGTTTGGCATCTGGCTCTGATTATGCCTCATGGGAAGGCTATGGAAGTTCCTCCAACCCTCCTTTCTTCACCTGTTTAGGGAGAATTACAGTGGAAATTTTACTTCTGCAGAGAAAAGTTAAGAAGAGGGATTGGTCATTGTAAACAGAGTTATACAAAATGACTACAGCAAGGTGGACAAATATGCGTGGCATCAGGATCCTGGGAGAATCTTTGATGCTTGCAAAATTTTGCTCTTTCTTTTTTCTCTTTCTATTTGGGGAAAAATGTCAAACTATAAGCCTCCTCAAATTCTTTGTGGAACAAAAAAGAGTATACATAAGTATATATATTATATAGAGAGAAAACTTGAAAAAATATTATTTTGGGGAGGTCTGATTATAGTAATAAGTTATATTTTATAGACTGACTTTATTTGTCCTGTGTTCAAATGCAAACTGATGATCAGCATATAATAGATTCTATTTGGCAGCTCCAGGGCAGGAGCTTGGATCTGTGACCTTTAGGCTCATTTGACCTCTGTGTGCTTCAGATTACCTGTCCACAAACTGCGGTGGGGGATGATCATGGGTTGTGGGAAATGGTTCTTTGTTTGAAGCTTGTGTCAGTGTGCTTGTGGATCTCAAGATGAAAAGATCTATTGTTATTTTGAAGACGGAGGACAGGCTATTTTCCTGACTAGGCTGGAGAAAGCCTTAGGAACTTGAGTCTCCTGATACACAAGAATACGCAATAGCAAGAGCCTAAGAAGCGTCTCCCCCACCCTTCCCTTATTTACTAACCGAACGTCTATTGAGCATTGCTAAATGCCAGCCTCTGTGCAACACTGCCATAACCTGGAGAGGCTCCTAGCCTGATTTATGCAGCCTCAAGATGGGAGGGGCAGAAACGTGACTTGTGGATGTGTGATGAGACTTCATCCGATCGTAATGCAACAAATGTTTTATCAGGCATTTTGCTAGGCACTGGAAGTTCAGAAATGACTAAGGGATCTCTATTCGAAGAGCTTAAGATTTGGTCAGGGGGACAAGAAGGACACCTAAGCCGAACACCAAGTGTGGTGACCTCTGAGACAGGAACACGAACCAAGCGCAATGGTCACTAAGTCCACAACCTCAAGGGGGCGCTCCCGAGTGCCCTTCCCCATTTCTTTAGTCCATCTACTCGCCCAGTCTCTTAAACCACTATCTTTTTTTTTTTTTCTTTTTTAACAGAGTCTTGCTCTATCGCCAGGCTGGAGTGCTGTGGCATGATCTCAGCTCACTGCAACCTCCACTCCCTGGTTCAAGCGATTCTCCTGCCTCAGCCTCCCGAGTATCTGGGATTACAGGCACGTGCCACCACACCCAGCTAACTTTTGTATTTTTAGTAGAGACGGGGTTTCACTTTGTTGGCCAGGATGGTTTCCATCTCCTGACCTCGTGATCCACCGGCCTCCGCCTCCCAAAGTGCTGGGAATACAGGCGTGAGCCACCGCGCCCGGCCTTAAACCTCTATTTTACAGTATCTCCTCTTTCACCCAACACGTTAGCTCTGGTGACCTCGGTCCCTAATCCGTTAAGAAAATAAAAACAATTCAAAAGGAACTTTCCAGTGTCTCCCCTGAAACTATTACCCTCCCAAAAGCACACTCTGTGTAGACAAAAGGCTCACCTGTTCCTCTTTCAGCCTGAGGTCAATCCCCACGGTGCACTAGGTCCCATTCCCTCTGATCTGCACACGAATGTCACTTCCGCACCTCTCTCCAGCACTGGCACGTTTCTCTCCCTTCTAATGGATGATGCCCATTATTACCAAACTTGCTGAAATAGCTCTTGTCTAAAAAATTCCTTCCATTGACCCCACTCCGCTTCCCTGCATTTCTTTGTAGCAAAACTCTTTGAAAGCATCTTTTACATTCACTGCCTTTACTTTCTACCATCTCATTTTTTTTCTTGAACTAATTCTATCAGGATTTGTCTCCACTACTCAACCAAGAAGTGCTTGGGTATACATCCAAAGGAAATGAAATCAGCATGCCGAAAAGTTATCTGTACTGTTATGTTTATTGCAGCATTATTCACAATAGTTAATATGGAATCAACCTAAGTGTCTATCTATGGATAAATGGATAAAGGAAATGTGATATATGAATACAATGAAATACTATTCAGCCATAAAAAAGAATGAAATCTTGTCATTTGCAACAATGTGGATGAACCTGGAGGACATTAAGTGAAATAAGGCAGGCACGGAAAGACAAATACCACATGATCTCACTCGTATGTGGAACTTAAAAAAGTAGATCTCTTAAAAGTGAAGAGGAAAATGACGCTTATCAGAAGCATGTTTGGTTAGTGGGGAGGGAATATAGGGAGATGTTGGTCAAAGGATATCTAATTACAGTTAGGTAGAAGGAATAAAATAATATGTCCAGAATAGGCCAATATCTAGAGAGAGGCAATAGATGAGTGATTGCCTGGGGCTGGGGGCTAGAGGGATGAGGATGGGTGGGTCAGTGGAGAGGAGTGAGAATGACTATCAATGGTTATGGATTCTCTTTTTAATGTGATGAAAATGTTCTAAAATTGACTGCGGTGGCAGTTGTACAACACTGAACATACGAGGAACCATTGGATTATATGCTTTAAGTGGATGAATGTTATGATATGTAAATTATATTACACTAACACTGTTTAAAAAATATAAATAAATAAAAAGACACACTGAAAAGAAAAACACAGCTTTTGCCACGGTTATTAAGGACCTTCATGCTGCTAAATTCAATGGTCAGTTCTTTGTTCTCTTCTGACTTAACAAACCTATCAGCCCATTTTACACAGTTGAACCTCTTCTTGAAACATTTGCTTCACATTGGTCTATGAGACCACCTTCAGTTTCTCTTTATTAACCCAACCCTTAAATATTGGAGTCTCCTGGGTCTCAGTCCTTTGATCTCTGTTTTAAGTATATTCACTCCCTGAGGGATTTCATTCAATCTTATGGCTTTAACTACCTGTAGAACCTGACAACTTCTCATATTTATAACTCTAAACTAGACCTCCCTTCTAAACTTCAGACTTCATATCTAACTGCCCAGTCCTTATGTCCACTAGGATGTCTAATAGATACCTCAAATATGTCATGCAAAAAAAATGGACTGATTCTCCTTTCTCCCACCTCAACCTGCTCCTCCCAGTCTTCTTTTCAGTCAATGATACCTTCATTCTCCATGTTAATCTAACAAAGAGGTTTGGAGTCATCCTTTACTCCTAATTTTTTAAAATGAATTAATTAGGTGCAGTGGCTCACACCTGCAATCTCAGCACTTCGGGAGGCCGAGGTGGGTGGATCACGAGGTCAGGAGATAGAGACTATCCTGGCTAACACGGTGAAACCCCGTCTCTACTAAAAATACAAAAAATTAGCCGGGCATGGCGGCCGGCGCCTGTAGTCCCAGCTACTCGGGAGGCTGAGGTAGGAGAATGGCGTGAACCCGGGAGACGGAGCTTGCAGTGAGCCGAGATCGCACCACTGCACTCCAGCCTGGGCGACAGAGCAAGACCCGTCTCAAAAAAGAAAAAAAAAATTAATTAATTAGGTCAGGCATTGCGGCTCATGCATATAATCCCAGCACTTTGGGAGGCCGAGGTGGGAGGGTCGCTTGAGCCTAGGAGTTTGAGACCAGCCTGGACAACATAATGAGACCCTGTCTCTATAAAAAATTAAAAAAAAAATGAGCTGGGCATGGTGGCACATGCCTGTAGTCCCAGCTGCTTGGGAGGCCAAGACGGGAGGATCACTTGAGCCCCAGAGGTGAAGGTTTCAGTGAGCCGAGATCACACCACTGCATTCCAGCCCAAGAGACAGAGCAAGACCCTGTCTCAAAAAAAAAATTAAAAAATTGATTAATTACTCTAAAAATTGGTGTATAATTAGATGTACATATTTTTAGGGTACATGTGGTAACTCGTTACATTCACATGTTTTATCATTTACTCTTTTATTTCACCCTACATCCACAGATGGTCCCTAGCTTACAATGATTTGACTTATAATTTTCTGACTTTATGGTGGTGCAAGACTGTGAATTTTGATATTTTCCCAGGCTAGTAATATGTGGTACAATAACCTGTCATGATCCTGAGCAGCAACAGTGAACCGCAGCTCCCAGTTAGCCACGTGATTACCAACAACTGACGGTGGATTGAGTTGCCAGATGATTTTGTAGGTGAACGTGTTCCATGTGAGTGTTCTGAGCACGTTTCAGGTGGGCTAAGCTATGCTATGATGCTCGCTATGTTAGGTGTCTTAAATGCATTTTTGACTTCCAATATTTTCAGCTTACCATGGGTTTATCTTGATAAAAGAAAAGCTTTAGCCATATTAAATTTAAAGGAGCTTAATTGAGAAACGAACGATTCATGAATCAGGCAGGCTCCCACGCCAGAGTAGCTCTGAGACTCCAGTGCAGCCACGTGGTGGAAGAAGATTTATGGACAGAGAAAGGAAAGTGACCAACAGAAAACGGAAGTGAGGTGCAGAAACAGCTGGATTGGTTACAGCTCTGCGTTTGCCTTATTTGAACATGGCTCGAACAGTTGGCTACATTTGATTGGCCAAAACTGAGCGATTGGCACAAGAGTAGGCTACAGTCTGTTTACACCTCCGCTTGCTATAGTTCATGATGTACAGAGAAACCTTTAGGCTGAACTTAAAATATGTAAGGAGGCAGCTTTAGGCTAAACTTGATTTGACAATCTGGACATAACCACCCTATAACAATCGAGGAGAACCTGTATTAGCAAAAATCTCTCAGCTTTATCTTTATCAGCACATCTGTAGTCTGACACTTTTCATCATCGCTACCCTTCTCTCTATTTAAGCCAACAACATTTCTGTAGCATTGAAGTAACTTCCTTCTTAACTGGCAACTGCATGTCCACTGCTGCCCCCTCTTCCAACTGTTCTGCATAGAGTAATTCTCTTACATAAATTTGATCATGTTACTCTTCTGCTCAAAGCACTCCAAAAAGCTCTCATTTCACTCCAAAAAAAAAAAAAAAAAAGCCAAAAGCCAAAGTCTGTTGTCTGTTCTGCAAGTCTCTCTCATATCTGCAGTCCCTCACCCCCATTTCCCTCCTCACCTCATCTCCTGCCATTCTCTCCCTTGTTCACTCCACTCTGTTCACTGCCCTCATGTCAAGTGAGTTCTCACCTCCAGAGAAAGATGCGCTGTTGCACGTAGTGTTTCCTCTGCCCTGAATGTTCTTTACCAGACATATTGCATGATTCACTCTGTCACTTGCTCCATGTTTCTGCTCAATCTCACAATTTTTTTTTTTTTTTTTTTTGAGATGGAGCTTCACTCTTGTTGCCCAGGCTGGAATGCAATGGCAAGATCTCGGCTCACTGCAACTTCCGCCTCGCGGGTTCACGAGATTCTCCTGCCTCAGCCTCTCAAGTAGCTGGGACTACAGGCATGCACCACCACACCCGGCTAATTTTGTATTTTTAGTACAGATGGGGTTTCTCCATGTTGGTCAGGCTGGTCTCGAACTCCTGACCTCAGGTGATCTGCCCGCCTTGGCCTCCCAAAGTGCTAGGATTACAGGCATGAGTCACTGTGCCTGGCTTCAATCTCACCTCTTAATGAAGTCTTCCCTGATCAGCCTAATTTAAGTCACAATGCTCCCATTCTACCTTGTCTCCTTTAGAGACTTAACTTTTCTCTATACCACTTAACTGGTCTCTGACAAATATTGGGAGCAAGTGAGGCAATCTGATTTAAATTCACAAGGTCACTGTGAAGTTATGTGTCAGGGATTGATGGCCCGATGGTGCTTGAGGAAGAGTGGAAAAGTGGAGGCTGAGGACACCTTAGGAGACTCACACAATTGTCCAGGATAATGTCCATTAAAAGCTTGACATAGAGCATAGTTTTAACTTTCTACGTCCAGCAAATGAATAGCTCTGCTGAAGGCTAACAGCTACATTCCCAGCCAAAACAGTTAGCTACTGGAGGTGTGGAAGCCCAGGCTGCAGTCAAGGGGCATTGGGCTAACCCACCACCCTGGCAGGCAAGCCTGGAATGGTGGGGCCAAGGTTAGGGGTGAGCTTGGTTCTTCTGGTTGGGTCTGAGATGGTGGTGTTGATGTGATCTCATTACAGGTGGGGTTTGGAAGGAAGGAGCATCTGCTTTGGCTTTTTCTTTTCTTTTTCTTTTTTTTTTTTTTTTTAACAGAGTCTCACTCTGTCACCCAGACTGGAGTACAGTGGTGCAATATGGGCTTATTGCAACTTCTGCCTCCTGGGTTCAAGCGATTCTTCTGCCTCAGCCTCCTGAGTAGCTGGGATTACAGGTGTGCGCCACCATGCCCATCTAATTTTTTTTTTTTTTGTATTTTTAGTAGAGACGGGGTTTCACCATGTCGGTTAGGCTGGTCTCGAACTCCTGACCTGATGATCCACGCACCTTGACCTCCCAAAGTGCTGGGATTACAGGTGTGAGCCACCAAGCCTGGCCTGCTCTGGCATATTTTAGAACAGGGGCAAGCACTGGATCCTGGGTTGGATGGGTCCATAGGCTGATTCAATATGATGTTTTGTACTTTCTTGTGAACTCTATGTTTCATTTCATGCTTCATGTTTCTAAATTATGAGTGAACCAGTTTACAGTTCTTTGGGCAATATCTGGTTAGTATCTCCCACTTCCATGGCAAATTGCCACATAACAATCGATCACTTGTCTGTCTTGATGAGTGACACTGATTACCACTGTAGAATTGACCTGTCGTGCTGCACGGATCCCCCAAATGGCTGAAATTGTTGGCCCAGATGGACACAGCCTCAGCCATTTCTAAAAATTCAGTTAGAGTTTCAAGTCTCTGAAAAAAAATTATATTTGATGCTTGCTACATTTCCACCAGGAAAATTAAATTTAATAAAAAGGAAAGCAACTGAAAAAATTAGAAAGTCATTCCACATGTCAATCCCAGTTCCTTCCTTCCTTCCTCCCTCCCTTCCTTCCTTCCTTTCTTCCCTCTTTCTCTCTCTCTCTTTCTCTGCAATGTCACCTAGGCTGGAGTGCAGTGGGATACTCATGTCTCACTGCAGCCTCTGACGTTCTGGGCTTAAGTGATCCTCCCACCTTAGCCTCCTGAGTAGCTGGGACTGCTAGCCACACCCAGCTAATTTTTGTATTTTTTCTAGAGACCAGGTCTCTTTTTGTTGCCCAGATTGGTCTTGGATTCTTAGACTCAAGTAATCCTCCTGCCTGGGCCTCCTAAAGTACTAGGATTATAGGCATGAGCCACCGTGCCCAGCTCCAATTTCTTTATAGGAAGTAAAACCTTCACCAGCAAAAAAAAAAAAAAAGAAAAAAATATAAGAAAAAGAAAAAAGTAAACATGATTTAGAGAGAATAGTTACGTTTTTCTCAGCGTGGTAAAACTGAAATTTGTGTCAACACATTTGAACCTAACTGTGTTTTTCTGTAGTAAAATGATGACTAAGTGGTGGATTTGAAATATTATCACCAGTTTAACATCTTTTTCTTGTTCTAACTTTTCTTGAAGTCAGTGCGAGACCGCCTTCCACTTTAACCTCACTTAGTCAAAGACCACCTCTCAGTTTTCCTTTTTTTTGTTTCCTCCTCTAACTTCTTGGTTTTGACAGTTTTCCCCCGCAGGAAAGGGGACTGAAAGGAAATTCAGTGGTTAAAGTGCTGGGTAGGTGGTGGATGTATTCTTACGGCTCTTAACTGCCTTTTCTTTCTTTGGATTAACTTGGCTTTAAAATTTTAATTTTAGCTTGGCTTAGAAAACTGGCCTTTCAATATCACATATTGTTTTCATTGTCTTCTGTCTGTTTTCTTTTTATTCAGACAAAATATCTCATTCATAGAGGAAATATTTAAAGTGAGATGACGTTTCTCCCAACCCCTTCCTTTTCTTATGCTTCTATCCTTCCTATATGTGCCTGAAATATTGGAAACAAAATGCAGTTCTGGGCCTGTGATGTGCCTTTCACTACGGCTGAATAAGGGAAAACCTACCTGATTGTTTCCTGCTGAGAAGGCTGCAGGGTTTCAGAGGAGGCGTCGGCTCTCAGGAAAATATTTCTCTTGAAAATATTCCATAAACATCCAGGAAGCACTCAAGCCCCAGCCAGCCTACACAGCGCCGTGGCCAAGTGCTGGGCTCGGAAGCCAGGAGGCTAGGTTTGAAGCATGGCTCTGTGACTCACCAGCAGTGTAACTTCAGGCCTGTTACTTGCCCTCTCTGTGTGCCTCAGCTTTCTAACCTGTAAAACGGCAGTAATAGTACCTACTAAATGACATTGCTGTGAAGGTTGAGTTAATACATGTGATGTCCCTATGCCAGACACACCTTGTGGGGAACATTCACAACTATCATTCCACTACGTTTCTGCCCCAGCATCGCACCTGTGGTCCTCCATGGCTTTGCTACTTCTTTCTAGTTCCAAATATAATTTCTCCTCTTTTTAATTCTTTCTTTTCTATTTTTTTTCTTTTTTTTTAGATAGGGTCTCGCTCTGTAGCCCAGGCTAGAGTGCAGTGGCACATCATAGCTCACTGCATTCTCAAATTCCTGGGCTCATCTTCCCACCTCAGTCTCTTGAGGCCAGGAACTCCTGGCCTCAAGCAATCCTCCTGCCTTGGCTTCCCAAAGTGCTGGGATTATAGGCGTGAGCCACTGTGCCTGGTTATTTCTCCTTTTCGCCTTCCTGCTGTTCTCCATCTGTGAGTCAGAATCCTCCTTTCCTTTTGGTGAATCCTTTTTTCCCTCTTCATTCTCTTAATGTGCTGTCTCATTCCTCTATTTCCTTATCCCTGAGAATGGCAGTCTGGATTACCACCGATTGTTATTTCCAGTTCTCTCTATGTATCATGTTCTGCCTGTTGGACCAGACTTTTTTTTCCCCAGCACCTGGTGCTGGCTCTGTTTCACCATGACTGCTCCACCCCAGGTGACATGTCCCGCTCTGAGTGGTGGCCTCTCCTGGGCTGCCCTGCCATGCGGTATGGAACTGAGCCATGATTGGTGGTATGTAAGACACAGTGTTACCCACTCCCTCTCCTGCCACTCCTTTCCATACAAAATTATTTATTCCTTCTCTGAATCTTTGGTTAATCACTTGGCAAATCCCTTTCCTTAGCACTTATTCTTGTATTAGTTATTTGCCAATCCTTTCTGCATAGATTATAAATTTCACGAGGGCGCAGACTTTGTCTTAAATTCAATGTTCCTCTAAATATCTCAAATATTGTGGATACCAGAAATTATATGACATATTTAAACCTTCCTTTCTGGGAATGCTTGACTTTGTGGGCCAGCATAATATCCTACTGCTTTTGTAATCAATCTGGAGCCCAAATATTCATTGTCGACTTTCAACGTGACCCCGAGAATCTGCCCATTGAATTTTGGTATGTATCAAAACTAAGGTTGTAATAATTCTCTACTGAAACTGTCACACTTTGAACTCCTCAATTTAACACTAAGCCAAAGATGGAAAAAAAAATAAAGGAGTGAAGCAGTGATGGTTCAAGTGTTGGGAAATTGGATTATTAAATAAAAGTGAAAGGAATTGGAATTGTTTACATAAAAAGAAAAGACTATTGAGAAGTAAGTTAGCTCCACTGAACTCAAAAAGTGTTGCAATATAGAGAACTTTGGACAAAAGCCACTATATTTATTGAAGACAAGTAGAGAAGTTTGCTTAAATTACAGAAGGAGGAATTAAAGTTAATTATAAAGCCACATATTAGCAGGAAGTGATGATAATAACTTGCATATGTTGCTGGTGGACTGGAAACAGCTTAGCTTCCTCAGATGGCATATGTACAATGTAGAGGCCCAGCTCTCTGAAATAGTTTAAGAGCAGTATTCCTCAAGGCAGCAGAAGAGAAAAAGTACATTTTGGATGTCCCTTTCCATCCCATTTTCTTTGATTTTGTTATAGCTTTCTTATAATTTATTCAATACTTGCAGACCAAAATATACTTGAGACCTATATCTATAAAAAGATACTTTATACCTACACATCTGGACTGACTCTTAGAGGCCTGGAGTATTCTTTTTTAATTTTTATTATTTTATTATTATTTTTTGGGACGGAGTCTTGCTCTGTCGCCCAGGCTGGAGTGCAGTGGCGCGATCTCGGCTCACTGCAAGCTCCGCCTCCCGGGTTCAAGCCATTCTCCTGCCTCAGCCTCCCGAGTAACTGGGACTACAGGCGCCCGCCACCACGCCCAGCTAATTTTTTGTATTTTTAGTAGAGATGGGGTTTCACCATGTTAGCCAGGATGGTCTCAATCTCCTGGCCTCGTGATCCGCCCATCTCAGCCTCCCAAAGTGCTGGGATTACAGGCGTGAGCCACCGTGCCCGGCCACCTGGAGTATTCTTGACAGTGCTCTCACTTCTGGAGGAACTGCTCAGCCACCAAAGGTGTACAAGTTGTTGGGTTTTATGTTTTAACACCTTACTGGTAACACTTACCTTACTAAGAATATTTATTCTAAGGAATAATTTCCAGAGTAATTTTAAAATAATTACTTCCTCTACTCCTAGACCTCTCCCCCTTTAAACCAACCAACCAGCCAAGCAACCAACCAACCAAAAACGTATCCAGACCTTTGATGATTACTGCGATAAATACAGAAACATAACAACAAGTTGTTTAGATGAAAATGGTTACAAAGAACCAAAACAAAATACTGAGTAAGTCTTATTAAAACAAAGCCTGAAGTTGACATATTTTCTATTTTGGCTGTGGGTGATTTTCCTAACTCTCTTCTTAGAATGTTACATTATTTTACACATGGGCTATTGGGCTAACATCATGACATAAGCTATGTTTGAGACCTGTAACTTGTCGATAATTAATTAGCTTAGGTTTCAACTCTAAGGAAGAGATGAGTGGCAATGAATAGTGTTTTGTTCGTTTTGGTTCATTCTAAGGCTTAGTCAGTTAGTGTTTCAGCTCCTTGAACATAGACGCTGATGACATAATTATTTGTATTCTCCACACTAATGAGGACAAAATGTTTCTCAGTGGACACTCAGGTAGCAAAGCTAAAAATGGGAATGTCTCTAATAATATATAGGATGTGTTTTAATGTTTCTCTGTGATGCCTAAGAGTTTTGATTATAGGAGTGGGAAAAATACAAATGTCATAGGGTTCTTAGAGGGGCATTGTGGTGAAAATTACAATTTAACATAGGCTAAAATAGGCCAATTATGTTAGAAGACATAGAATATATTTCTGGAAAGCTAATGACAAAGAAAAGCTTAAAAGTCAAGAAAGCAGACGGTAAAAGGAGCAGAGTTGAGAAGCCTCTTCTGGAGGGAGTGCTGGGTGTTCCCCTCTAGGATACCAAGCCAGACCACACACTTTCTGCTTGGAACAATTTTTGGGATGAGGCTATCTGGAGCCAGTCAGGTGCCAGGGTGTCCTCACGAGGAGAAAGCAAAGACACTGTGGGATCTTCTTTCAGAGTGTCCTTCTCCCCTGTACTCCCCAGCAAAAAACAAATCAGTTCCCTTAAAAGCTAGGCTTGTGCCAGACGCAATGGCTCTTGCCTGCAGTCCTGGCACTTTGGGAGGCTGAGGTGGAAGGATTGCTTGAGTCCAGGAGTTTGAGGCCAGCCTGGACAATATGGCAAAACCCTGTCTCTACAGAAAAATATAAAAATTAGCCAGGTGTGATGGTGGGCACCTGTAATCCCAGCTACTCGGGAGGCTGAGGCAGGAGAATCACTTGAACCTGAGAGGTGGAGTTTGCAATGAGCCGAGATCACACCACTGCATTCCAGCCTGGGTGACAGAGCGAGACTCCATCTCAAAAAGTAAATACATAAAATAAAATAAAATAGCCAGGTGTGGTGGTGTGCACCTGTAGTCCCAGCTACTTGGGAGGCTGAGGTGGGAGGACTGTTTGAGTCCAGAATGTTGAAGCTGTAGTGAGCTGTGATTGCACCACTGCATTCCAGCTTGGGTGACAGAGCGAGACCCTGTCAAAAAAAAAAAAAAGTTAGGCTCATAACTACTATTGCACTGAAAATTCCTCAAACCTACTCCTGTTGTCTATCTGCTTATTGTCAGAAATGCCTCCAATGAAGCTTAAAATCTTTGAATTCCATGGCTAGAAATTAAAGGCAGATGTCTGGCTGAGGGAGTTCTTTGACACCATTGATGATGAAATGTCATGAATGAATGAATTCATTACACGTGGAAATGATCAGTGTCTTTTTCCTATTTTTGTTGCATTAGTAGTTAATATAAAGTGTAAGAAGAAAACATGGCCATGGCAGTGAGGCTGGAAAGGCCAGGTAACAGCTTAACATCTTTCTCTGTAGTCGGTTCACCTACTCTTCACCTGGAAGCCTCTCGTGGCAGCGCATTGCTGGCCAGCTGCACGTACATAAAGATTGTAGAGCATTTCCACTGAGCTGGCGTTCAGTCTCTCCTGCAACTTGTGATGTTTCATTTTATGTGGCTAACTCCATTGTGGAGGAGTTTCAATTGCAGAGGATTTACTCGTTAGGGCGTTGCTAGATTCACTAACACCAGTGGGCTCCCTCCTATATGTGTATTTCTAAAGTAGATACAGGGGTCTTGCTGGGTCTTGTGCCCAGGCTGGTCTCAAATTCCTGGGCTCAAGTGATCATCCTGCCTTGGCTTCCAAAAGCGTTGGGATTATAGGCATGAGCTACCTTGCCCAGTCGTCCTTATCTTACTGACTTCCAGGTTTTCCTTCCTACATAGCATGAAACAGTGTAGGAACAGAGCTATGTGAGTTGGACAAGGAAACACAGCCATTTAAGGTCAGGCTGGGACTCAGGTCCAGGTACCTGAATTACCCCTGCACTCCTAATTGCCTGGGATCTCACAGATTTTTATTTATTTTTATTTTTTGAGATGGAGTCTTGCTCTGTTGCCCAGGCTGGAGTGCAGTGGCATGATCTTGGCTCACTGCAACTTCTGCTTCCCAGATTTAAGCAATTCTCCTGCCTCAGCCTCCTGAGTAGCTGGGATTACAGGTGTGCACCAGACGCCTGGCTATTTTTTGTATTTTTAGTAGAGATGGGGTTTCACCATGTTGGCCAGGATGGTCTCAAACTCCTGACCTCAAGTGATTGGCTCTAAGTGCTGGGATTACAGGCGTGACCCACCACTCCCGACCTCACTGATTTTTTTCCTTTTTGGTAGCCATCCACACTCAGTGTGTTTTGTCACCCAGCTTCCTTTGGATAAATGTCTTGTTTAATTTGAGTGTGCCTCTCTTTGAATTGTGAACCCTTCATCTTGTCCTTTTTGCTGACCTTTGGCTCCATTTTGGCATTTTTCTGTCATTTTATGGACATACAGAACATGGTCTATTCACAAACCTATCCTTCTTTCCTTTGCATCTCTTCTTATTACCTATGCCTTGTATATATAATATTCCCTGCTCTAAGACATCAGGTGGCATTAATAAATATGATGCTGGAATGCCCTTCACTCTAGCTACCTGGGGCAGTGGTGGGGGGCGTGGTAAATGGTCAGCTAGTCAGAAGATTCCATAATCCTAAACGGAATTACTGGGATTTGTGAGCTAAAGTTAAGCACTGGGTATTTTAGGTGTTTAGTTTTTTCCATGCTTCAATGTCTTTATTGTTCAAGAGTAAAAATATAAACTTCATGACTACGTGGTTAATCATAATGATGAAGACAAGGGAGGGCAAATGAGTCTCACCTCAAATGCTAAGACCCCGCTCCATGCTGGGCTGGGCCCTGAGGCTTCAATGGCAGAGCATGGAGGAGACATGCACCATGTCAGTGCTGGTACTTGCTGTCCATAATGTAGATAGACGGTTAGCTCAGACAACAATGTGCATCTTTTGCTGCTCTTTTGAGCCACACCATCACGGAAAAATGAACTCTTCAAATTGGGATTCTATCTCTGTAAGTAGTCTCCATGTTGGTTCTTTTTCTGACCATAGTTCATCTTGGAGCCATATGTTTCATACTTTCCATGGGGAAAAATGTGCCTAGAATTAATGGAATGAATGATGTTGATTTATAAGCAAAATATGTCTTATTTTAAAATAAAGCATGATGGTGTGTTATGAATTCCTATCAGTAAAACAATCTAGACATGTTCTTTAAACACAAATCCTCTAAGGGATGAGACTAAGGACCCTTGGAGGACATTCAAGGTCATCTAATAGTAAAGTTGTCAGCTACATGGATCAAATTATATGGTTATCAGGACTATGGGAATGGTCTTTAATATCTAGATTATTGGAACCTGAGAGGATGCTGCCAGAAAGAAGTCTTTCTTACTTGACACATAGCTTTATTAAAGGATGTGATGGGCTTTACCAGGCTTTTAAAAGTTCCCAGTGATACTTTTGAGCCTCTAATCTGAATTTCTCTCTTTCTTTTTTTATTTTTAATTTCTTTTAATTTAATTTAATTTTATTTTATTTTTTGAGACGGAGTCTTGTTCTGTCGCCCAGGCTGGAGTGCAGTGGTGCGATCTCGGCTTACTGCCAGCTCCACCTCCTGGGTTCATGCCATTCACCTGCCTCAGCCTCCCAAGTAGCTGGGACTAC
This sequence comes from Homo sapiens, assembly GCF_000001405.40. Lineage (NCBI taxonomy): Eukaryota > Metazoa > Chordata > Mammalia > Primates > Hominidae > Homo > Homo sapiens. The sequence continues at coordinate 8,460,217 of NC_000010.11, forward strand.
AGGCACCTGCCACCACGCCCAGCTAATTTTTTCGTATTTTTAGTGGAGATGGGGTTTCACCATGTTAGCCAGGATGGTCTCAATCTCCTGACCTTGTGATCCACCCACCTCGGTCCCCCAAAGTGCTGGGATTACAGGCTTGAGCCACTGCGCCTGGCCTTTAATTTTATTTTTTATTTTTGGGGAAATAGGATCTCACTCAGCTGCCCAGGCTGGAGTGCAGTAGCATGATCATGGTTCACTGTAGCATTGTCCTCCTCTGGCTCAATTGATCCTCCCATCTCAGCCTCCAAAGTAAATGATACTACGGGCATGTGCCACCATGCCTGGCTAATTTATTATTTTTTGTACAGGCTAGTCTCAAACTTCTGAGTTCAAGCAATCTTCCCGCCTCGGCCTCGCAAAGTGCTGGGATTACAGGCCTGCGCCACTATGCCTGGCCTGAATTTCTTTCTAACTGCCTATCTCAGATATGTTCCTTCCTGCAAGGCAACAACAAAATGTGATTGTGGTCATGTCTAGATACTACAAAGAATATCACAGCCTGCTCTAAGCCTGTATAGAGAAAGTCAATGATTTTTCCAGATAAGTCAAACATGTTAGGGGACATTCCCTAGGAGTGTTCTAAGTATGCCTGGGCTCTCAAATTGGCAATCTCATTGTTGGGGAATTTTTATGTCTGACACATAAAGTATGAGGATTCATTCCTGGAGTGATAACAGTCTTAAAACACTAGATAATGGAAAAAAAAAAAAAAAGAAAAAAAAACAGTAAATGGAGAAAATAAAATCAAACTTCTGTTGAGATAAGCTTGATGATTTGAAATTAATTTATCCTCCTGTCCCCTAGGATTTCATGTTGACTGAAGTGTGGAATATATACAAAATACAGCCGGAGTGCAGTGGCTCACACCTGTAACCCCAGCACTTTGGGAGGCCGAGGTGGGTGGATCACCTGAGGTAAGTAGTTCAAGATCAGCCTGACCAACATGGTGAAACCCTGTCTCTACTAAAAATACAAAAAAAAAAAAAAAAAAAAAAAAATTAGCCAGGCATGGTGGCATGTGGCTGTAATCCCAGCTACTTGGGAGGCTGAGAATTTCTTGAACCCAGGAGGTGGAGGTTGCTGTGAGCCAAGATCGTACCATTGCACTCAAGCCTGGGTGACAAGGGCAAAACACCATCTCAAAAAAAAAAAAGTATAAACAAGAAAGAGAAAAATGACATGTAATTTCTTCGCCCAGAGATAAAATCAGTTAACAATTTGGTTTATTGTCTTTTAACCCTTTAATTCCCTCCATTGTTTTGAAATTTTATATTTTATATTTTGCATCAAAAATATGAACTATTGATCAAATCAATTCATCATCAGACTAATCAGATTAATTCTGATTCATGCTCTATCAAACCCATCACCTTTTTTTTTTTCCTTTTTCTTTTACTGACCCATCACCTTTGGACCATGCAAGAACATTTTTGGGAAGACAAGACTCTTTTCCCCTGGTGTCAGAAGTAAAGACCTACAGATATACCAGCAGTCTCTCAGCATCGGTAGCCTCATTAGGGAGCTACTGAATAGCAGCTAATGGTCTTCTGTAGAACATAAGTTGAAACAATACTAGATAGAATGATTATTACAAAAACAACCAGTATCTGTGGACTGCTTGCTACATGTCAATCTGTTGAATCTTCACAAAAGCCAAATGAGATGGGTACCACATCTTTCATGGGAAGTAACTGGGTTCAGAGAGATTAAAAACCTTCTGCAGTCACACAGCCAGTAGCAGCAGATCTGAGATGGGAATGCAGGTCGTCCGACTCCAGAGTCTGCACCCACTAAAAACTATGTACAACTTCTCCTCAGAACACTTCAAACCCTGCATTCTGAGGGGGTATTTCAAAGGAGCTCCTGCAAAGATCTCTGCTTCCTTATGGAGAGGTCCTAAGATACCTATTTTCAAATACCACCACAGTATTTATAGCTGGTGCCAAAAAGTTCATTCGATTTAGTCTGCTTTATTTGATTTTCGTAAAATCCAAAGTTTGTCCACAGATAAGCTTTAGTGCACATACTACATTCCAATAAAAACCCTAACCCTTTCACTTTCAACCTTTTCAACTATTTTCGTTGGTTCACTCCCTGTGACAGTTTCCTCCCTTGACTGAAAAACTTCAGGTCCCTTTACTTGTCACTACAGGAGGGGCACTAGGTGTATGATCTCAGCTGGCCTTACAGAAGAATGTCCCTGTCATGTTAGTTTTTCTTGTATGAACTCGTCCGTGCTTCTGAGAAGTAAAAGCCAACTGCCTCAAATTTTCCTATAGCCTTTTCTAATATTTTACCCACCTCAGGGACTGGTTTCTGTTCTAGCATCTCCTTTTCATTTTACCATAGTTCCATTTTTTTTTTCTTTTTTCATTATATCCTTATATAAATATGTGTTCCAATTCCTGTACGTGTAAAAGCACATAATTATATCTCTGATTCATTCCACAAACAGTTATAGAGTGCTGTTCCAGGCAATGAAAATGCAGATAAATGACCCAGTTCTCATCCTAAAGGACATTCCTGCCCAGTGGGAAACACAGAGTGAGGCAAGGAGGGAAATTTTATGCAGGATAATAGGTGCTACGATTGAACCAAGCGTGGTGTAAAGGGAGCCCAGAGGATGTTCTCAACTGTGGAAGGCATCAGGAAAGCTGCTTTCTGTTGGTGAAAAAACTCATCACATACATTTTATTCATAACATGACTTCCACTTCTATTCTTGAAATTTCTTTTCTTCCCAAGCTCCGTAACCTCAATGACAACAGCGTACGTGCAAGAAAAAGGCAGAAGGGATTGAAAACTGTGCTCCGGAAAAGCAATTCAATGTTTCTTTTGAAAATAATGAAAAGAAATAGATCCCCAAAGTCAGCAGAACACATTTTATTAATAGGAACAGCCATATACAACACCGGGTGATTCAACATCGAAAAGAAACAAAAATCCTACAAAGATCTGACATCACAGGGAGATAAAAATTGGCCCTGGCCGGCATACCCTGACAGGTCCAAATTGAAAATGGAAACACATGGACACAGGAAGGGGAACATCACACTCTGGGGACTGTTGTGGAGTGGGGGGAGGGGGGAGGGATAGCTTTAGGAGATATACCTAATGCTAATTGACTAGTTAATGGGTGCAGCAAAACAGCATGGCACATGTATACATATGTAACTAACCTGCACATTGTGCACATGTACCCTAAAACTTAAAGTATAATAAAATAAAATAAAATAAAAAAAGGAAAAAGAAAAGAAAATGGAAACACAAACACACAACCCTTGTAGGAATGATCTGGGGACCTTCTCACAAGGTGCGGGACCACAGGGCAATTTCACATTGCTAGCCATCACATGCTGTGCAGTGCTTCTTTTCCAGGGAGGCTTTTGGCTTTCCGCAGAAACCCCATGGAAACTGCCACTCAAACTTTTTCATCCTAAGAGGAGCCATCCAGAATGATTTCATGTAACAGCAGTGACCTGTAAAATTAATTCCAAACAACGGATACTTTCTGTGTCCCCTATAAATGTTCAAATTACAAACGCTCATGTCGTGTGCTTCATGATATTGTATATGCTTCATGGGTCTCGACTGTCTTTCACTGAGATCGCAGGCCCACTCATGTGAGGCAAGCTGTACTTTCCTTTGATTTTTAATCTTTATTTACCGTATTTTTGGGAGGCCCTACTTTTCAGGGCTCCATGGTTCTGGAGCATGACTCTCTTCTGATTCTTGTTCCTCTGAATTTCCCTGGAATAAGCAGCTGTTGAAGTTGACAAGAGTCCCAGAATCTGGGTCAGCAGAACTGAAAACACGTAGGTGGTTCCAGTGGAAATGGGTGTCAACTCCAGCTGGCTCCCATGGGTGTTCTTGATTCTGTCCCAAATGTAAAATGTAGTTTATAATAAGCTTGATAGGGTTAGTCATCTAACCATTAACTTCAGCCTGGGTAAATCCTTGCCCTGATCTTTAAGACAATGCGCCTTGAGACAGTGGCTTTTATATCTACCTTATCAGGAAGGTAAGCATAGAGAGGATTTGGGGGCAGAGAAGGGAGTGTGGAGGCCAGTCTAGGGATAATGGAGAAATAAGGAAAGAAATGATTATGGGACTGGTTGGGAATATAAGATATGAAGAGTATCGTAAAATCCATGGATGATGTATCTTGAGAAAAAGAAGGCTTCCTTTAGGAGTGGTGGAAAATGGAGGTATTTTTTTTTGAGACAGAGTCTTGCTCTGTCGCCCAGGCTGGTGTACAGTGGCGCGATCTTAGCTCACTGCAACCTCCGCCTCCCAGATTCAAGAGATTCTCCTGCCTCAGCCTCCTGAGTATCTAGAATTACAGGCATCTGCCACCACACCCGGTGATTTCTTTCTTGTATTTTTAGTGGAGATGGGGTTTCACCATCTTGGTCAGTCTGGTCTCGAACTCCTGACCTTTTGATCCACACCCTCGGCCTCCCAAAGTGCTGGGATTACATGTGTGAGCCACCGCACCCGACAGGGGAGGTTTATACACAGGAAAGTGACAAGGCGAAAAGTATACTTAAGCAAGTGTAGTGTGCCGGTGACGTATGAAAGACACTAAACATGGGAAGTGAGGGAGAAATAGGATGATAAGATTCAATAATTCACATTTGGAAAAGAAAGAGAGTTTAGTGTGGTGTAGATCGTAGAGCTGGAAAGGAACAAATGGACATTAGATCTGTAAGGTGAATAACTTACATTATGCGTTTTCTGATTTGACCGGGAAAACAAGAAAAGCCACACTAAGTGGCACTGAGCTTTGAGTCTGGGCAGAAAAAATATTGTGGTGCCATGTGGTGCCACTTCTAGGGATAATGAAATTACAAGGTGGACATGATCTAGTGGGAGTAGAAGATACTCTTGGTTTTGGACATGCTGAGTATTAGGAGTTGATATCAGAATGTAAGTATCAGCAGGCTGTTTGATAGTCCTGTGCCATCAGCAGAGAGGAGAAAAAGAAGGCTTTACAGCCGTAAAAAAAGCATGAGATCATGTCTTTTGTGGGAACATGGATGGAGCTGGAGGTCATTATCCTTAGCAAACTAATGCAGAAGCAAATCCAAATACTGCGTGTTCTCCATGTTCTCATTTATAAGTGGGAGCAAAACAATGAGAACTCAAGAACACAAAGAAGGGAACCACAGACACTGGGGGTTCTGTTTGAGGGTAGGGGTGGGAGGAGGGAGAGGAGAAGAAAATATAACTGTTGGGTACTGGCTTAATACCTGGGTGATGAAATAATATGTACCACAAACGCTGGTGACACAAATTGGCCTATGTAACGAATCTTCACACATACCCCAGAACCTAAAAGAAAGGTTTTTTATTTTCTATGTTTAAAAATAAGGTTGCAAAATAAGGAGAATCCAAAAATCCCATCTCCCTTCTCTTCTGGCCCAAACAAGAGTTTAGGGAAAATTTTTTGCAGGCTTGATATTTCTGAACCTGAAATTTCTGAAAAACAAAGAACTTACCCTTGCCAAATGTTCACCATAAATATCTGGCCTGTGGTTAGCCTTGGTCTAGGTATTATAATTTGTCTAATTGGTTGAAAAACACATTTTGAGGAGGACTCCAGGGTCAAAAGATGGAGTCCCCTTCTCCTTCCCAACCTTGGGGCCAGCATTAGCCCTTTGCTTTTGGGTTTTCATATTACTGAGGGCCTGACTATAATTGACCAACACTTTCATAATAAAGAAATGCATGATGAAAACGACAATATGAAATTAGTATCAATAAGAGTTAACACTCTTTGCCTATTAGAATGACATTAGGAGTTTTATAATATTGCTGTTCTCAGACCAATGGAATCAGTATCTCTGCCGGGTGGCATCTACATGTTGATGTTTTTGTAAAATCTCTCAGGTGATGCAGGGTTGAAACCACCAGAAAAATGGAACAATGATTCTGAACCTTAGCTCTACGTCGGATTCACCTTGGGAGCTTTAAAAATATGTAGATACCCAAGTCTCACCCCGCAGACAGTCTGTTGAGCAGCCAAGGTTGAGAACCACCGATCTAGTCTTTGGTTGTCTCAAGAAACACTTTGCAACTTTGCTATCTGAAACAAGTGAAACACTTGTTTTGAAGGGCAGAAGCAGCACAGCTATGGGAGAAGGCACTGGATATTTTTGCTACAGGCATAACAAACTCAATTGTCAGCTAACTTTTCATCACAGGATCTTTCTTGCAGGTCACAATGAGGTAAGAAGCAGAAAACTACCACTAGGATTTTCAAATCCCAGGTTGAGTGTGTATTGTTGGCAGTTAGAAGGATGGTGTTTTAACTTGTAAAACTGAACCAATTTTGAACTCAAATCATGGAGACAATAAATGTCATTTACCAGTGCTTGTCTGGGGAAAAACTCTTCTTAGAACTCTGTGACAAGATGAAATGTACACATATAAAAATCATAGTCAGCAACTCCAGTTTACTACACAAAAATCTGGAATCTTACAGGAGTTCTCCCCCAAGACAACAGAAAGAGGATTACAACAGGTGCTTTCTCACCCATTCATTTTTTCTAGTTTACACAGATACATCATTTCACAACATCCTCCATCTATATGTGTTTTAGATTTATTCTGAATATCTTTAAAAAGCAATACAGATATCTGGTTTTCTTAAGTTCCTTTTTAAAAAATCTACTTTTACCTAGAGCCTGTTTAATATACTATCTATCTACGAACCAATGCATTTTTAAAAGTGAACTCTCCCCTGCCTGGATTGCCCCTCCATTTATTAAGATGATACTTTTCCTTTTCAGTTGTTCAAGTCTCATCTTGTCTGTGAAGTCTCCCTGCCTCTGTTCTACACAGATTCTTCCCTCTTTTGAATTCTTGCAGTTCTTGTCTGTTCCATTCACTTGTCGCATATAGTGATAAGCTTTGTTCTGGCTTTTCTTCTCAACTAAGATTGGAAGCTCCTTCAGAAGCAGAGATGAAGCACGGCCAATTTTATATTCTTACTCAGAAAAATGCCTTCCACATAGTAGATGCTCAGTTAATTGATGTTGGTTGGTGGTGGATTACCTGGTGGTTGTGCCCCGTGATTTGGGGCTCGTTCCTTAATCTCTCTAAAATCAGTGCCATTCTCTGTACTATGGAGATATTTATCTTCTAGTGCCATGGAGAGGATTTAGAATCATGGTGTATGAATTGTTTAGCACATCCTGGCATACAGGAATCATCTGATAAGTGACTGCTGGTTGTTAAATAAGCCAGAAGCATCTGAGGAAGTCAGGGAAAGTGGGCATGACATGCTGTGCAGGGTGGGGAAAGTGGAGTCTGTTATGTTAAGGTAGTGGTCAAGAGAGGCCTCCATGGTAGTTTCACCTAAGAAGAGACCAGAAGAAAGCAAAGACGTGGCAAGGCATGGTGGCTCACGCCTGTAATCCCAGCACTTTGGGAGGCTGAGGTGGGCAGATCACTTGAAGGTCAGCAGTTTGAGACCAGACTGGCCAACATGGTGAAAACCCCTCTCTACCACAAATTCAAAAATTATGTGGTGGGTGCATGTAATCCCAGATACACAGGAGGCTAAGGCATGAGAATCACTTGAACCCGAGAGGTGGAGGTTGCAGTGAGCTGAGATTTTTCCACTGAACTCTAGCCTGGGTGACAAAGCAAGACTTCATCTCAAAAAAAAAAAAAAAAAAAAGCAAATGAAAATGTCCCCAGGTAGGCCTGTTGTGGGGTGGGGGCAGGGGGAGAGATAGCATTAGGAGATACACTTAATGTTAAATGACGAGTTACTGGGTGCAGCACACCAACATGGCACATGGATACATATGTAACTAACCTGCATGCTGTGCACATGCACCCTAAAAGTTAAAGTATAAAAAAAATGTAAAAAAAAAGAAAAGATCCCAAGGTAGGAATGTGCTTATTCCACTGGATTGGTGGATTAGAGAACAATGAGAGAATGTGAGACTATTCCCTGGTCCGTGAACATTTCAGCAGAGAAGGGGGGGGATATCCAAAATGGGTGGAGCGTTAACTGTCCCTCTTCTGCAGATTCAACTTGAAGTTTTCAGAACGGGAATTTCTGCTCTGAATTTCTGCGATACTTCAATGTTTCTCAGAGTGATAGAACTCAGAGGTGCAGAGGGCAGTCTGATTTCAGGCTGACTCTCTGTGTTGATACCTTAACCCTAGCTCTAACCCTAACCCTAGCTCTAACCCTAACCCTAACCCTAGCTCTAACCCTAACTCTAATCCTAACCCTAACCCTAACCCTAACCCTAGCTCTAACCCTAACCCTATGCATGTGTCTCTTCCTTCTCTCTCGTTACTCAGTATATTCCTCCAGAAACTGTATCTTAGCTTGACGATGATAGCTTCACCAAATCAAAAAAAAAAAAAAAAAAAAAAGCTGGGTGCAGTGGTTCACACCTGTAGCTCACACCTGTGGGCAGTGGCTCACACCTGTAATCCCAGCACTTTGGGAGGTCAAGGTGGGAGAATGGCTTCAGACCAGGAGTTCCAGACCAGCCTGGGCAATACAGAGAGACCCTGTCTCTACAAAAAGTAGAAAAAACTAGCCGGGTGTAGTGGTGCACACCTCTAGCCCCAGCCACTGGGTAGGCTGAGGTGGGAGCCTCACATGACCCCAAGAGTTAAGGCTGCTGTGAGCTTTGATCACTCCACTGCACTCCAGCCTGGCTAACAGAGCAAAACCCTGTCTCTAAATAAATTAAAAAAAAATTTTTTTTAAAGAGAAGTATTTGAATCAAGTGTGCTCTAACAGCTTTTTCTTCTGAGCTCTAACTTCCACATACATTTTCCTCATCCGAATGAGTTAGAGGTGGTGTTATCATCTCCACTTTACAGGTGAGATAATGGAGACGGATTTCATGTTTCTTTCAAGTCATTCCAAGTATACATGTTTTACATAAGTGATTTATAGATAAGTGACTTGTATATGTGACTGGGATAAAGTTAATCCATTCAAGCTGTTGTTATGGGACTTTACCATTTCAAGGCAAAAAATTAAAAAAAATTTTCAGAATTTTCTGTTGATTGTCCCTTTAGAATTTCTTCAGGGTGTTTTGTTAAGCTCAAGTTTGAAGATGGCCTTTGACGAACTTGAAATAAGTTTGAGAAAATGTCGTTATAAAACTGTAGTGGTACAAAATATATATCATTCCAAAATACAGTGTTAAAGAGTATATAACATTGTGATTTATCTAACCCGTGTCACCTGCTGAGAGTTAATTGTCACAATTCAGTAACTATGCACCTTAAAACTCAATGTGAGACCCACTATTTCAAAGCCCAGCCACTTTTTTTTTTTTTTTTTTTTTTTTACCTCAGCAGAAGGATCATATCCAGGGGCCATCTCACCAATCCTAGATACAGTAAGAAATGCCCTGCCAGCCGGTTGTGGTGGCTCACGCCTGTAATCCCAGCACTTTGGGAGGCCAAGGCCAGTGGATCACCTGAGGTCAGGAGTTCGAGACCAGCCTGGCCAATATGGAGAAACCCCGTCTCTACTAAAAACACAAAAAATTAGCCTGGTGTGGTGGCGGGTACCTGTAATCCCAGCTACTCAGGAGCCTGAGGCAGGAGAATCACTTGAACCCGGGAGGTGGAGGTTGCAGTGAGCCCAGATGGCACCACTGCACTCCAGCCTGGGCGACAGAGTGAGACTCCGTCTCAAAAGAAAGAAATGCCATGCTGCTGTTCTCACTCATAAGTGGGAGCTAAATGGTGAGAACACACGGACACATAGAGGGGAACAGCACACACTGGGGCCTATCGGAGGGTGGAGGGTGGGAGGAGGGAGAGGATCAGGAACAATAACTAATGGGTACTAGGCTTAATACCTGGGTGATGAAATAATAACCAAACCCTCAGGACTCAGTTTACCTACGTAACAAACCCCCGTGACAACAAACCCCCCATGACACAGTTTACCTACGTAACATACCTGCACATGTACTCCTGAACTTAAAAGTTTAAAAAAATCGAAAAAAAAAAAGAAAAGAAAAAGAAATGCAATGCTGCATGGCAGCCGCCAAAAGGATGTTTCCCAAGAGAGACTGTTTGCAAAATCGACCACCACTCCCCCTGCAACAACCTGAAACCTCTCCTAGTATCTCTGATTTTTTCCTTAGTGACTCATTACAGCCCTGTTATCCACAATTATGGCTCTTATAGGATTCTGACCTATTTCTTGAAAAGCAACATATTCCGCCTATCTATATAATTTGCATTTTAAAATGCATTTCAGTTATTTTTTTCTTTTCTCCATCTTTTACATTTTTTGATTGAGTCCTATTTATTTTTAATTAATTAGTTAACTTGAACTAATGAGTGAGCAGTGATGCGATCATAGCTCACTGCAGCCTCAAACTCCTGGGCTCAAGTGATTCTTCCGCCTCAGCCTCCCGCTAGCTGGGACCACAGGCGTGCATCACCATGCCCAGTTTATTTCTATTTTAAAGATAAAACCGAGCCCCTTTCCTGTGGCCATAAATAAGAAAACTTGTATTCTGGAAGGAGGGGTGGCAGTATTGGGGACATATAGGGTGCTGTGGGATGAGCCAGCCCTGCAGAAGGTACAAAAGAGAAAGGAAAAAAAAAAAACAGATGAGGTTCATGTCTGAACTGCGGAATCCCTCCTTACTTCAGTGTGATCTAGGCTTTTCGGTTATAGACAGCAAGAATTCTATCAGTCATCATTGAAAAAGCGAAAAAAAAGCAGAAACCACAGGGTTTCCTGGTTTTCTTTAAAGATGGGACTACTTTTCCAATTTCTTTGAGTCTGCAATTAAGTTTTTTTTTTCCCCCAACTTTTATTTTAGGTTCAGGGGATATATGTACAGGTTTGTTACATGCGTAAATTGCGTGTTGCGGGTATTTAGCGTACAGATTATTTTGTCACACAGGTAAAGAGCATAGTGCTTAATTGGTAGTTTTTTGATCTTCTACCCTCCACTGTCAATCAGGCCCCAGTGAGTTTTATATGAGGACAAGAACCATTATTTTTTTTCCTGGTACATCTTTCATGAAGCCTACCCCTTCATGAACTTAAAAAAATCTGCAGTTATAGCTAAGTGTTATCTTTTTAAAACAATTTAGTGATTCCTATATTCTTGTGACAGGTCAGAGCCCATATATTTGGGTTTTTTGTTTTTTTTTTTTTGGTTATTGATCATATTCTATATTGGGGAAAAAGACAAATAAAACCTGAATCAAAATTTGTGTTATAGTTTTATTGGCGAAGGTCACATAATAATTCAGTAGTATATATAAAGGTTGATGGTCAAAATGTTGCTAGTAGGATTAAAATACTCAAGGTGATAATACAGTGGCACCTGGCATTCTGAAACTGTCTGCACTCATTTCTCTGTGTTCACTTGCCAATAAGTTCCATCACGTGAACAATGTCCTGGGGCCAAACTCCCCACCTGGGGAGGAAAAGTACAGAGGCTTGGCATTGTCATTATCTCCAGGAAACTTCATCCAGAAGTTCTGAAGCCAATAATCCATTTCTGGCTGCTCCTCCCTCCCAAGCTGTTCCTTATACAGACACTCCTTGAATTAATAGGCAAGGAAAACAAAAACATCATTTATAAATTTAGCAGTAGGAGAACATATAGTTGTCTACATAAACAAAAAGCTTATTTGTTATCCAAACAATCTAACTACAACTTTTTTTAGGGAAATAGTTCCAAAATATCACCACATTTTTGCGTATATCAATCACAATTTTCCATGATCATTGTCATAAAAGAAACGTAAATTTTATATTCTGTGTTCAAAATGAATTGTGTTTTGTATTTTGTCCTGGCTATTGGATTTTGTGTAGGCGGTACAGGAGGGAGTGAGGTTTAGCAGTTCAGAGGCTGGGTTTAGATTCAGACTATGAAATCTGGGTTCAAATTTGGCTCCAGTCTACTGTGTGACAGTGGGCAAGTTGCTTAATATCTTTGCTCCTCAGTTACTCATCTGTAAAGTGAAATTTAAAAAAAAATTCCCCTAGAGATGTTGGATTAGTCCATTTTGCATCGCCATAAAGAAGAACCTAAGGCTGGGTGAGTTACAGAGAAAAGAGACTCATTTGGCTCACGGTTCTGCAGGATGTACCAGCACGGTGCCAGCATCTGTCTGGCTTCTGGTGAGGCCTCAGGGAGCTTATGTTCACGGCAGAAGGCAAAGGGGGCGTGGTGCAGCACATGGCGGGAGGCAGAGCAAGAGAGAGCCAGGTCCTTTTAAACAACCAGATCTCCTGGGAACTCCTACCGTAAGGACAGCACCAAGCCACTCAGGAGGGATCTGCCTTCATGTCCCAAACACCTCCAACACTGGAGGTCACATTTCAGCCTGAGATTTGGAGGGGACGAAACATCCAAACCACATCAGATGTGCTTAAGCTAAAGAGCTCATTGCAGATGCAAAGACCCTAGATCCATTCATTGTGTTAAACCAAAAATTGGGATAAATTGGTTGGATTCGATGAAGATGAATGAAAACTGGAGACAGATGCATCTTTAAACAAATTGCCTTTGCAGATTTATTCAGACAGTTCTGATGAAGTGAAACAGCCCATGACCAAGGTATTTAGGGAGTCTGGTGGCATTGTTTTGAGTATTTACTAGTCCAAAGTACTTAAAAAGAAAGTTGAACTCAATGCTCCTGCTCATATGAAATGGAAAAAAAGTAAATTAATTTTCTATCAATGTTAAAGAAAAAGGACTGTTGAATGCATTTAATCAAATAATATAAGGCAATTAAATAGTACCTAACTAAATGCTGGCTACTCTTATATTTTTGTTATATGTATATATTCACATAAATATATTTTATATGATAAATATAAATTTAGTTTATATATTTATTTTATTTATATTAATACAATTTAGAATTAATATAATATGTAGAAATATACTTGAAAATATAGATTTGATGACATACTATTTTACTTATGGAGCAAATGTCAAAGCTTATGCAAATGATATTCAAGTCATAATCAAATATTAGCTATGACCTTAAGTGTTTCATGAATCTGGAGGAAAATGGTAGTAAATACTATTGTTTCGACAGTCAGAAGCAACAAGGTGTCAGAGATGGTCTCTAGAGCACAGCTGAAACTTGTTGTAGATCCAGAGGGGAGAACGCCACCTACTGAACACCACATTTCAAAATCTATCTCTTCATCATGAGAAAATGATCATAATAAACTTAATAAGATGTAACACTTTATCATCATTAATTAGTTTATATGCAAAACATCTTTTTGAAGTAGAAAAGATTCATTACCCTTATTATTATCTGTTACTCACAGGATTAATAGATAAAGCAGTTGAGTCTTAAGCCATGTCTACCCAACATCCAATGTCCAACTTCCTTGGGTGACCCAGGAAGAATTTCATGTGGTAATAAAGATTAGAATTCCATGTTTGTTCTTGATGAAATTCTCCAGAAACTCACTATATTTTTTATTTGCTAATTCTCTCTTCTCTCTTTCTCTCTTCCTTTCCTTCCTTCTTTCCTTCTTTCTTTTTAGAGATAAGATCTCACTCTATCGCCCAGGCTAGGCTGGAACTCCTGGCTTCAAGCAATCCTCCCACCTCAGCCTCTGAGTAGCTGGGACTACACTCATGGGCCACCATGCCTAGCTAACTTTTCTGTTTTGTAGAGATGGAATCTTGCTGTGTTGCCCAGGCTGGCCTAGAACTCCTGGCCTCAAGTGATCCTCCCACCTCATCTCCCCAACATGCTGGGATTACAGGTGTGAGCCACTGCATCCAGCCTCACCCTCTCTGATTGTATTTGCTTTACAAATCTGTGGTTCCTCTTAGTTCCTCCATTCAACCCTCACCAAGTAAAACAATATTATAGGAGAAAAAAACTTTCCTAGCCATTATTTGCATGCATAATCCAAGAAATTATGGATATTTTCAGATGGTTTTTGGATATGTTCTTCTTGATTAATGAAGATATTATACCTCCCTACTGTTCTTTCCTGGAGGTAAAAGGAATTTGATCAGTTTCCAAATACCTTGGTATTTTGCCAAAATTCACATTCATAAAACGAGTTTACACTGGATCACTTTACCTTTTATTTCAGGTGTGTTTCCCTCTAACAGGTCTAATTTAGAGGATTTAAAAAACTTGTTCCCATTCCTCCTGTCTTCATTTATGCCCTTGCATGTTGTAGTAAATATATGAACATTTGACCCCTGCATTGTTGCACTGATATTGATAGTGTTGCACTGGGTAAAATTTACTTTATGGCAACTGACCTGACACAAATTCTGCTTTCTCTGAATATTATTTATTTATTTATTTATTTAAACATAGTCTCACTCTGTCACCCAGTCTATAGTGCAGTGGCGTGATCTCAGCTCACTGTAACGTCCGCCTCCCAGGTTCAAGTGATTTTCCTGCCTCAGCCTCCTGAGTAGCTGGGACTATAGGTGCATGTCACTATGCTCGTTTAATTTTTGTATTTTTAGTAGAGACGGGGTTTCTCCATGTTGGCCAGGCTGGTCTCGAACTCCTGACCTCAGGTAATCCACTCACTTCAGCCTCCCAAAGTCCTGGGATTACAGGTGTGAGCCACCATGTCTGACTCTGAATTATTTTTAAGTCTAAATATGAAAGCAATTTTTACAAGTAGCAAAAACAAAGCAGACACATTTAGAGAGAGTATATTCAGTAAGTTTAAGATATCCTAGTTTTTCTTCATTTAGTCTTTTGTCACTTATTTATTCACTCAACAAGCCTATGTGAAAGGGCTTGGTACTATGATATGTACCAAATGTGGAAATATTAAGTAGTGAGTTCAGCTTATAAATAATTCCGGAAGGGTAATCAACAGTTTGAGATGAATGGAGCAGAGTAGTCGTTAAGATAACTGGTTTAAGACTCCTGCTAGTCTAAGTTCCAATCTTCACCTTGCTACATACCAGATGTGTGACATTAGAAAAGTTATTTTGTCTTCCTGAGCTAAAGTTTACTCATCTTTGTAAACTCTCTGTCATACTGTTATTAGGAGGGTCAAATAAAATAATGGATATAAGGCAATTAATATATGTTTGAAACACTGCAGAATAATAAAGACTGACTATTTGTGTTTTAAATTAGGGATTCTCGTTAGATTGAAATCTACTGGGCAACACATTTTTAAAATCTGACCTGGTATATCTTCAAGCCAAGATCTTCAAGTTCCCTTTCTACCTGTGATTCAGTAAACACAATTTTCTGAAAAGAATTGGTTCTGTATTGATAAGAAAGTTGTTTGAGACACAGAGATGTTCCCTTCTCCCAGTGGGAAGGGACTGCATTTAAACTCAGCTGTGCACTGGACCCAAGGTCCCTCCTGAAGCAAGTATGCTACAAAATCCTATTTACCCTATGGACTTCAGGTGCTGGGCAGCTGGAGTTACCAGGCAAATCTCCTAAACAGCTGGCAACTGAACTCTAAGCTGCTGATTTCCGAGTAGCTGGTGTATTGCCCCACTGACCAGGCTGCTTTCTCATTTCTGCCCTGTAAAAAGCTTGAATGAAAGGAGCAGTAGTCCTCTAGTGGAACCCAGACCCACACCACAGAACCAAAAGCCCTTTGGGTCCTCCATCTTCCTGTAGGAGGATGGAGGAGTCAGAGGACTTCTGCTTTCCCTTCTCTTGCTGATTCAGCCTCATACATTTTCATCTTCCCAATAAAGCTTATGCCCGTGGATACTGTGGAATTTATCCTGAACCCTGCAATAAGACAGGTGGGACTGACCTGACACAACACCTCCATACCCCAGTTCCTCCTGGATCCCTTTTTACTTTGCCAAGATTCCCAATGGGAATGGTGCCACAATTGGCAGCAAGCCTGGGTCCACCCCATTGCGGATTTTACTACAGCATTTCCTTCTGTCCTCCCAGGAATTAATAACAAACAAACAACTCTTTCACTATTATCATCCCAAGTGTTCCGTAAAATTAAAAGTGCTTTTTTCACCATGGAATCATGTCCTCTGCAGGAACATGGATGGAGCTGGAGGCCTTTGTCTTTAGCAAACTAATGCAGGAACAGAAAACCAAATACTGCATGTTCTCACTTATAAGTGGGAACTGAATGATGAGAACACATGAACACATGGAGGGGGGAATAACACACACTGGGGCCTAATTGAGGGTGGAGGGTGGAGGGAGAGGATAAAAACAGTAGCTAATGGGTGCTAGGCTTAGTACCTCAATGACAAAATAATCTGTATAACAAACCCCCATGACACAAGCTTACCTATGTAACAAACCTGCACATGTACCACTGAACTTAAAAGTAAGAAAGAAGTACTTTTTTTTCACTCAAAAACTTTATTGATTCATAGATGGTGGAGACTTTTGATAAAAGAATGCAAATAATTTAGTATACTCAGGGATGTAGCCTGTTCTTAGTTCTGTTATTCCTGTATTAATGGGATAACTTACTTTTGCCTTATTATCAATATGAGTAAAATGAAGGGTATGATTCAAATTAAGCTGACTATCTTGTTAGGGACATACCTAATCAGAGATATTATAACATTTATCTTGTGATATTAAGTTACAAACAATAATCTCTCTAACTGGATGAAATACTTTCACTGTGTGTATGTTTTCTTAGGTAGATATGAGAAACAGTGCAACGTAGCCTGAAGATCATAGAGCTGGGGCAATAGTGTATAGATTTGAATCCTGTCTTCACCAGCTCTGAGCTGTGTAAACTTTGGCTAGTTACTTAATCTCTTTTTGCCTAACTTTCCCATGTATAAAATAGAGATTAAAAAGTTACAATAAATAACATAAAAGTAAAGTGCTTAAAATCAATGGTATATATTATCAAAAATATAAATATAATATATAATAAACTTATTATTATATACTTTCTAATATAATCTTTTGTACTAAAAGATATTGTACTAAATAAAATTTGGAGTCTGAATTCTAATTCCCCATCTAAAAGAGGGAACTATAATTCGTTTTTAAACTTGTTATTATTGTATGTAAGAAAGCTGTTAATATTTGTGTATTTTATTACTAGCTATCTTATTAAACTTTCTTAGTCATTATAATAACTTTCAGCTGATTCTCTTAGGTTTTCTAGATAAATCATCTGTTGGCAATAATATTTTATCTTCTTTCCAAAATTTACACTCCATATTCATTTTTCTTGTCTTATTGCACTGTCAAGAGCTTCCATAACAGATTAGACCACAGTAGTTTCAGGCAGGTGGAGTGGTCTGTGTGTTCACCAATATTTGCTGCTTCTCCCAAGGCAGAATTATACTTTTCTATTCTATTGGTGTTGAATTTGGCCATGTGCCTGCTGCAGCCTATAATATGTGACACACTTTTGGAAAGAAGTTCTAAAAGCCAGGCATGATTCACCATATTGTCTTTTCCCTCCTTTAAGCGATTGTCAATATTCAGACAGAGGCTACTGCATTAGTCTGGTGTTGAAGTGAAGTCCTACAGAGCAGATTTGCAGCTGCCCATAACAGGCATGAAGTGTGGAGCAAACCTTTGTCTTAGAAAGCCATTCAGATTTGGGGATCATTTGTTAACTGCAGTAGACATCTTTAATTTAATTTTTCTCCTTAGCAATCTCAACTTTGTCTTCCTTAATGTCTTTTAACCAATTTTTAAAAAGTTATTCTGTCCCTCCAGATAAGAATAATTCTGAAATTATAAAGCATATGCAATGCAATTCTTATTTCAAGCAAGTAGGACTACACTTGGAATATACACACAATTGACAGGGTGAGAAGACTGAAGGTGATGTATTACAAAATTAAAGTCCTCTGAGCAGAAAAGAAAGAATTGTTCTCTGTCCCAATCTTATATTTTCATATAAGTTAGATGAATCATCAAGTTAGAGAATCACTGCAGTAGAACCAGTAGTTTCTGTGGTCACTATTTAGGCATCTTGACTGTATTATTTTTAAAGAGATTTTCAAAAATCTGTGGTTACCTTTGGAAGGTATAACTGGGAATTTTAAAATTTTTTTCTTTATGCTGTAGGATAATTTCCAAATTTTCTACAGTGAGTATATACATTACTTTTATAATTAGAATTTTAATATATATATTTAGATATCTAAATATAAGTAAAAATATAATAAATATGTTAGCAATGGGGTCTTGCTGCATGTGTTGCCCAGGCTGGTCTCAAGCTCCTGGGCTCAACAACTCTCTGCCTTGACCTCTTGAGTATCTGGGATTACAGGGGTGAGCCCCTGCTTTCGGCTTATAATTAGAATTTTAAAATCTTGGCCGGGCACGGTGGCTCACGACTGTATTCTCAGCACTTTGAGAGGCCGAGGTGGTGGATCACTTGAGGTCAGGAGTTCGAGACCAGCCTGGCCAACATGGTGAAACCTTGTCTCTACTAAAAATACAAAAACCAGCCAGGTGTGGTGGCACATGCCTGTAATCCCAGCTACTCAGGAGGCTGAGACAGGAGAATCAGCTTGAATCCAGGAGGTGGTGGTAGCAGTGAGCCAAGATCACGCCACTGCACTCTAGCCTCGGTGACAGAGTGACTCTGTCTCAAAAAAAAAAAAAAAAAAAAGAAAAAGAAAAACAAAATCTTTAACAGCGGCACCAAAAAGAGTTGGGTGTGAGGTGGGCAGCATGGTGGGGAGTTTAGGCATGAAGTGACAAGATTCACAACAAGAAGAACAGTTAGGAAGAGGTGGCCATTGTAATGAGACAGGTAGTTGCTCAGCTAGTGGCAGGGGACCCACAGTGGGAGGAGGAGGGGGGAGTGGAATAGATCTGATACACACTTGAGAGGTAGAATTAAATTTCACAGAATTTTATGATGGATGTGAAAGTAGGTGAGAGTTTAGATAAAGAGTTAAAGGGAGAGAGGAGTTTAAGATTACACCCATGTTTAGATAAGGAGAGACAAGGGAAGAAGAACCAATTCATAATGGGGCAACTTTAGGTGGAGATGCACGTGGGAGACATGTAAGACAACTGGAGTTTGTCATATCCCATCAGATTCCTTGATAGAATTTTTGTGGGTGGGAGGCCATTGCTATTTCTAGCATCTAACAACAGTTTCAGAAAAACTGGTATTTATTTTAGCAGGATCTTTCTGAATATTTTCTGGGGTAATCTTTTCCTGTTGTCGAGGCTGTTCTAAAAAGATTAGTTTCACATCTCTATAGGCTAACCTGGTAGCTGCAGAATATAGACCTCTGGGTATATTTTATTATTCCATCATTTCATTGACATGGAAATTAGGACGAAGACTGGGATTTATTGGTGAATGATTTTCTTCCCTATATGTACTGCAGCCATCTAGTTAGGTTCCATAACCATTTTCTTATTTAGGGCAGGAGTTCCTATCTTTGATTTTGCAATATTCAAGGATGTTTCCCTCTATCTTTAGGGGTGTGGTAGAGTTTTCAGATGTATAAAAATGTAGTCAGTGTTCATTCATTCCAGTTTAGCAGTCAAGTTTTGCATGGCAAATATTTAAAAGATAGAAATAAAGCATTTTCTCATGCTTGGCTTGATAATTAGATTGTGCAGCTCATCAGGTGGACAGTTATTATTATTGTCATTATTTTTTATTATTAAACCATATTTATTTAAGTTTATTTTATTTTAAGATCCAGGGTACATGTGCAGGATGTGCAGTTTTCTTACATAGGTAAACATGTGCCCTGGTGGTTTGCTGCACCTATCAACCCATCACCTAGGTATTAAGCCTGGCGTGCATTAGCTATTTTTCCTGATGTTCTCCAACCCCCTGCCCTCCCCTGAGAGGCCCCAGTGTGTGTTGTTCCCCTCCCTGTGTCAATGTGTTCTCACTGTTCAGCTCTCAGTTATAAGTGAGAACATGCAGTGCTTGGTTTTCCGTTACTATATTAGTTTGCTGAGGATAATGGCTTCCAACTCCATCCATGTCCCTGCAAAGGACACAATCTTGCTCCTTTTTATGGCTGCATAGTATTCCATGGTGTCTATATATCGCATTTTCTTTATCCAGTCTATCATTGGTGGGCATTTGGGTTGATTCCATGTCTTTGCTATTATGAATGGTGATGCAATGAACATACATGTACATATATCTTTATAATGGAATGAGAATTATTATTATTTTAATAGAAGAATAGAGATGAGGTCTTGCTATGTTGCCCAGGCTGGTCTTGAACTCCTGGCCTCAAACACTCCTCCCTCTTTGGCCTCTCAAAGTGTTGGGATTACAGGCATAAGCCACCACGCCTGGCCAAGGTGGACAATTACTGATCAAAAATCTCATACTTTGACTCAGTGTGGAATAGTGGAGAAGCCTGGGAATCAAAGCTCTCTTTCTGGGTCAGTACTCTGGAAAGACCCTGCATCTGGAAAGCACTTTGTGTATAGTTACTGAATAAATGAATACTTAAATACAACGTAATTTCTATGCCTTTCATGTTATCTGATCTTGTACATACTTTTCTCCCCTATGCTTCATCTTTTTTTCATACATACAATGGATTGGCAAAAGAATAGAATAAATGACTTATTTTATTGTTTGGGCCTCCTTTGATAGCTGAGTTCAACTGTTGTTTATTGTGAATTTCTCAGTTTTTTTTTTTTTTTAACAGAGTCTCATTCTGTTGCCCAGGCTGGAGTGCAGTGGTGTGATCTCGGTTCACCACAACCTCCTTCTCCTGGGCTCAAGCAATCCTCCCACCTTAGCCTCCCGAGTAGCTGGGAGAAGAGGTGTGCATCACCATGCCTGGCTAGCTTTTGTATTTTTTTGCAAAGACAGAGTCTCCATGTTACCCAAGTTGGTCTCAAACTCCTGAGCTCAAGCAGTCCTCTAGCCTCAGCCCCCAAAGTGCTGGGTTTACAGAGTTGAACCAGTGTGCCTGGCCCTTCAATTTTTAATTTTTTTAGTGATAAAACCTCTGAGGATGTACATTTCAGGTAAATTAAATTGGATGTTCTTTTTATATATATAGTTTGGTGAGGTAAATGATATTAAGTAACTACGATTTTGCTCTTAAGAAAACAAAAGCATCAAACATATTGATGCTTGTGTAAATAAAAGTTCAGCTTGCTTACTTGTTTTTGTTTTTTTCAAGCTCCTTGCAATGTAGTATTATCTTATTTATTTTTAATTTTGCTTTCCATGTAAACTGTCTGTTCTTAGAAACAATTTGGCAGTGAATGCCACTTTTTCCTGCCACTCTCAGACGTGCAAAATCATGAGAGATGAAAATAAGGAAATTGGTGTGATAGTCCCTGCACTGTTAACTGTTGCTAAGCAGAGACCTAGATCTATCTGGAATTTCTATAAGTTTTTAGGGAGTGCTTTGCTAGGCTGTAAAAAGTTTGCAATTGGAATTTCACTCCATTACTGTCTAAGTCTAACTGGCTTTATATTATCACAGAGCTGTATGTTCACAGCTGAAGCCACTTAGGAGAGGGTGGCATACACAATGCTGCAGAGAACTGTATAAATTTACTAGGGGTAAGGTATAAGTGCCTACTACATAGCCCTTCTGAAGTCTCTTCCAGATTGATTGAAGATTGAATCTTTAATTTACATTACTAATTAAAGGACTTAGCTTAATTGTTATGAGTTTGGGTTTTGCACAAGAGCTCAGAGAACTTAAGGCAAAGTACATGTCATAAATCAATCATACGCGTCAGTCAATGTGACATTTCTGAGTAGTCTGTGTTCCCGTGATGGCACTCCACCTGGGCCATTGTTCCTCAAAATAAAGTGACGGTAGAATCGGAGGAATGGTTCATGTATTCTCTCTCAAGAAAGATACCTTGCCTTAAAATAAAAGGTGATTGAATCATCGGCAAATCTGTGTTCACTCAAGACCATTTCTTCTGCTTTTTAATCTTTTTTTTAAACAAAATTGTTTTAACCCTGCTGTGGCAAGTTTGGGGCAATGCTCATAAATCTCATTCTATTTCCTTATGGCACACAGTCATGGAAATGGAGAAAGCCTTTACTGTGGAGAGCCAGCAAGCTTTGAGTTCAGGCGCAATAAAATTCCTTTTCATAAGTAGGATCTGGGAGCCCGTCAGCATTTCCTGCTTTGTGGATGTCAACATCTCCAGTAGGGCACTGCAAATATAATTCTAAAAGGTGTGCAGGAAGGCAGGAGATAGATAATAGGGATGCATGTCCTCTACGAGGTAGATCAGAACTGAAGTATCCCACTGTACGTTCTGCAGGCACCTTGGGGAAGAGAGAGCCCACATTCCTTCTGAGGCATCCTTTAAAGGAGGCAGGAGGAAGAGAAGTTAATACTCTCTCTCTCTGTCTTCTTGTGTCCAAGCCACTCTCCTTCCCAGGAAGAAGCTAAAATATAGAGAGACCATAGGATAGGATATTTTTCTCTCTCTCTTCCTTCCTTAATCCTTCCTTCCTTCCTTCCTTCCTTCCTTCCTTCCTTCCTTCCTTCCTTCCCTCCCTCCCTCCCTTCCTCCTTCCCTCCCTCCTCTCTCTCTTCTCTCTCTCTCTTTCTGTTTTTCTTTTTCTTTTTGATGGAGTTTCACTCTTGTCATCCAGGCTGGAGTGCAATGGCGCGATCTCAGCTTTCTGCAACCTCTGCCTCCTGGGTCCAAGCAATTCTCCTGCCTCAGCCTCCCAAGTGGCTGAGGTTACATGCACTCATCACTCCGCCCAGCTAATTTTTGTATTATTAGTAAAGACGGGGTTTCACCATGTCGGCCAGGCTGGTGTTGAACTCCTGACCTCAGGTGATCCACCCCCCTGGGCCTCCTGAAGTGCTGGGATTATAGGCATGAACCACCACGCCCGGCCAGGATACGTTTTCTATCACTCAAAAGTAAGGGGGAAAACGGAGAGCCTCCAAAGATGAGTCATAGTTTTTTATTCCACTCTTCATTATGGTTCACATGTCACTGGAGACACAGCCAGTTGCCATTGAGGGTCATTTGAAGAGGAGAGGAAGAAAAGTACTTTGGTACAGAGTAGATCCTTCATCTATATTGCTGATTGAGTGACGGTATTTTACTCCATTCCCTTAGCTTGCTGGGGTAACAAGAATGTGACTTGTATTTAGAAAAGTGTGTTCCTAGGATAATTTAGCAAAAATATTTTCCTTAATAATACAAACAAAGCAGCCAGGCATGGTGACCCATTCCTATAATCCTAGCACTTTGGGAGGCCGAGGCGGGCGAATAAACTGAGTTCAGGAGTTCAAGACCAGCCTGGCCAACATTATGAAACCTCATCTCTGCTAAAAATACAAAAAATAGCCGGGCGTGGTGGTGGGTGCCTGTAATCCCAGCTACTTGGGAAGCCCAGGCAGGAGAATCGCTTGAATTCGGGGGCAGAAATTGTAGTGAAGTGAGATAGTGCCACTGCACTCCAGGGTGGGCTACAGAGTGAGACCCTGTCTCAATAAATAAATAAATAAATAAAAATTAAAAAATGCAAACAAATCAAGCAAATATACTTTTAGCACTTCAGGAAGTGATAAATAAATATTTTGGTTTACAGTTCTATGAGTTTTATGAAATTTTAACCCCCACCACAAAGAGAATATCAAATAATCCTCATTCTCCCACCTCCCCGCATTGCTTCATGTTAACCTTTTGTACATAGATGTTTTCCCCATCTTAAATCCTAGGATCTGGCAAAGAGTTCTTAGATATAACACAAGAAATATTATCCATGAAAGAAAAAAATGATAAAGTGGGCTTCACCACAGCTAAGACGTTTGCTTCTTGAAGAACACAGTGAAGAGAATGAAAACACAAGCTACAGACTAGATGAAAGCTTCCGCAGATGTTCAAAGCCCTTTGAGAGAGAGAAACTGAATGTGGCATGATCTTTTTCTACCAGAAGCTGCAGTGGAACAGAGCCAGAGATCAATGTGTAATAAACAATATATGAAGGAGAACGTAATTAGTGCTAAAATAATGGTGGTACCAACGATGTGGCAGCCTTTTGGGGCAGAGGGGACACTATCGTAGCTTGCGAAATCAAGGGTGGTGCTGTGGGGCACAGAAACCCGTGAGAGAGAGCGTTCCAGAGGAGGAAAACCTGTAAGAAAAGCCACAGAAATGGGAAAATGCTGAGCGTAAACAGTAAAGTGTCAGAAATTTACTCTGGTTAGCTCCCAGTATCACCTCTGCGTCTTTCACGGCAGAACGAGAATGAATATATGTCTCCCAATACATGCAGAAACCCTCAATATCCGCACCTTCTAAGGTCTGTAAGGAAAAAAAAACAACAACAAAATAAAACACACCAAAAAAACAAAACAAAACAAAAAACCCAAAAAACAAACAACAACAACAAAAAACTTGCACTGCTGGGCGCGGTGGCTCATTCCTGTAATCCCAGCACTTTGGGAGGCCGAGGCGGGCAGATCACCTAAGGTCAGGAGCTGGAGACCAGCCTGCCCAACAGGGCGAAACCCCGTCTCTACTAAAAATGCAAAAAATTAGCTGGACGTGGTGGCCCTGTAATCCCAGCTACTTGAGAGGCTGAGGCAGGAGAACTGCTTGAACCCAGGAGGCAAAGGTTGCAGTCAGCCGAGATCGCGCCACTGCACTCCAGCCTGGGCAACAAGAGCGAAACTCTGTCTCAAAAAAACAAAACAAAACAAAACAAAAAAAACCTTGCACTTACCTTTTCTAAGTGACAATTACCCCAAAGAGTGGATTCACTGGTTATGCTGAAACATAGAAAACCATTTAGGGTCATTTAAAGGGAACTGAAATGTCAGGATGGTCCATTGGAAATGCAGATGTTAACTGCCCTAAGCACAATAACAAAATGATGAAGCCAATTAGGAAAGTACTGCTGAGAACT
This sequence comes from Homo sapiens, assembly GCF_000001405.40. Lineage (NCBI taxonomy): Eukaryota > Metazoa > Chordata > Mammalia > Primates > Hominidae > Homo > Homo sapiens. Next base: position 8,485,081 of record NC_000010.11, read on the forward strand.
TCAGGCTTTGGTTAGTCACAAAGGCGGAGAAAAAAGACCAGGTTGTTTGATCTTGTTTATCTGGAGGTGGAGTCAATAATCTGTATAGTTTCGAATGGTCCTAAATGTTTTGGGGCACTTAGAGCCCTGCTGTGAACTCATTTGTTGTTACGCAATCTGCAATGGACTCGTCTCCACAAGTCATTTTCCTTGTGCTCCATCATACCTGGTACAAATGAAACACTGGTCTCTGTAATACTTAAGCATCTTTTTTGCTGGGCAAATTCCTGAAAGAACAAATTCTTTTGCTATTGGTCAACTGCTGAAATTAGCATAAAATCAGCACATAAATTACGTTAAACAACGCAGAGAGTTAGTATATAAGCGTATGTCACTTTCACGCTTATACACATATGTTCTGTTTCATATTTTCTCTAATTAAAAAATAAGATTTTATGCATTGGAAAGCTCTGATTTATGTCAGGTACAGTCTTCTGTCCGCCATATATTAGTAGATGTAAAAGAGATTTTTTAAGAATTTACATTCACATTTTTTGGTGTATAGTCCAATGTGTCTTAACATGTGCATAGATTCTCATGACTACTCCCACAAACAGGATACAGAATAGATTCAGCAACTCCTCTCCTTCCCTAATTTCCTCATTCTGACCCATTGTAGGTAAGCCCTCTCGTCATAAAAAAAAAAAAATAAGTTGGATTTCATGAAAGGTAAAAACATTTTGCTTTTCGAAGAACACACTTAAGAAACTGAAACAATAAGCTACAGATTGGGAGGAAATGTTGGCAAATAATGTATCAGACAAAAGATACATATCTGGAGTAAAGAACTCTCAAAACTCAACAATAAGGGAATAGACAACCTAATTGAAAAATGCATGAAAGATTTGAACAGAAGCTTCACCAAGAAGATAAAAGGTAGGCAAGTAAGCCAATGAAAAAATCATTAGTCATTAGGAACATACAAATGAACACAATGAGATGCCATTACGCACCTCTTAGAACAGCGAAAACGAAAAGCACCGAGGGTGCCAAGTGATGATGGATGTGAAGCAACAGGAATCCTCTTCCACGGCTGGTGGGAATGCAAAGTGGTCCAGCTGCTCTGGGAAACAGTCTGACAGTTTCTTACAAAGGTAAACATATGCATCCTTTATGACCCAGCAATATCATGCCTTGGGATTTATCTTAGATAAACAAAAACTTAGGTTCACACAAAAACCTGTGCATGAATGCTTTTAGCAGCATTATTCTTCATCTCTAAAACCTGGAAGGAATTCCAATGTCCTTCAAAGTGTGAATGGATAACCAAATCATTGTACACCTATACACTTAAATACATGAAATAAAACGGATGACTCTCAAAATAATTATGCCCAGTGAAAGAAGTTATATTCCATTTTGTGATAATGAGCAATTGATTCCTTTAAGAATATCTCTTCTCATTCTGCTTATTTCTTTTTTCTCCTTGTTCTCTCAGGCCTTAGCTCTTCCTTCTCCACACGTGGTGCCTCTCTTCTGAGAATTTCATTTGTGCATGTTTCAGGTACCTTTTGCTGCATGAAAAGCCACCTCAAATTTAGTGGCATAATATAACCATTTTATTATTCTCAGGAATTCTGTAGGTAAGGAATTCATCCTTACCCTGAGGCCATATTTTCTTGAAAAGGCCTTGGATTTTATCTTTGCCCTGAGGTTGGCCCTCCTTTCCCCTCCCCTCCCCTCCCCTTCCCTTCCTTTTTGAGACAGGGTCTTCCTCTGTAGCCCAGTCTGGGGTGCAGTGTAGAGAACATAGCTCACTAAAACCTCCAACTCCCATGTTCAAGTGATTCACCTGCCTCAGCCTCCTGAGAAGAGAAGCTAAAACTATTGGCATGTGCCACCATACCTGGCGATTTTTTTATTTTTATTTTTATTTTTCATAGAGACATGGTCTTGCTTTGTTGCCCAGGCTGGTCTAGAACTCCTAGTGTCAAGTAATCTTTCCACCTTGGCCTCCCAAAGCGCTGTGGTTACAGGCATGAGCCACTGTGCCCAGTTCATTTCTTATTTTGAGGACTCTGCTCTCTGTTACGGTCCTTTCAAGTTTCTTATCAGTTACATTTCCTTCTATTTACATTTCCTCTGAATTATACATTTTCTCCAAATTATGGAGTAATTCATTCTTTAGTTTATCTCTCTTACTCTCTCATTTTATTTTAGAGGGCTAAAATGTAGGCAACCCTTCAACGCTCTCCTGAAATTCTCCTTTATCTTCGTGGTTGAGTTTGTTAAGCACATTTTCCATGGGACAGTGTTGCAGAAGGCATTGCTGCTATGTAACAATGGCTCCTTTCTTAGCTCCCAACACCAATGTCTTCACTATCCTCCTTCAAGCCCTCATTGATAGCCTCCGGGAGGACTGTTTGGCTTCTGTCCTTCACTGTGCTCCAAAACCAATGCTGCAAATTTCGCCTTTTGTTATGGAGGAGACCCCTTCCGGGTACCAAATTAGCCTACGGTTTATTGCTGCCTGTCAAACCTTCCTAAGCTGTGAGTCATGATGCATCAACCATTTGATTTCACTTTTGCATTCTGTGCATCGGGAATTTGAACAAGGCATAGCAGGGATGCCTTATATCTCTTCCGTGTTCTATGGGTCCTGGTCAGGGATGTGTCGAATGGCTGAGATATGTTTCCAATGGAGGAAGACTGGAATTTTCTGAAAGTTTCTTCACTCACATGTCTGGGTCTTGGACTGGGATGACATAAGTCTTGTCTAATCTGAGACTCAAGCAGAGCACCTACCTGTGGTTCCTTCATGTGACTAGGGCTTCTTACAGCATGGCAACTGGGACCTTCCAGAGTGAGCACACCAGGAGAAGCAGGTGGATATCCTGTAGTCTTTCATGATGGAGCCTTGGAGATTCCACAGTGTCCTCTGCTCCCTGCCATTGTAAGACACACTTCTTCTCCAGCCATCAAAATCTTTCCTTCAAAGCAACTACAAACCCTGCCAGACTCATGGTTGGGGGATATAGATTGCCCCTCTCATTGGGAGAAGGATCAAAGAAGTAGCCGTCATGTTTTAGAACTCCTACCGTGCCTTGGCTGCATCTTTCTCCAAAAGCTGCGTCTCTACACCCAGATCTGTATCTCTAGTCTTGACTTTTCTCTTGAATGCTGGACTCAGAATTCACATGTCCAATAAACGTTTTATTGGAATTCACCAGCATCAAAAATAAACAAAATCTGACCTACCCAGAATCCTATTTCTTGGCATCTGAGCCCCTTAAGGAGAGTACATGAATTTATTCAACACAAATTGATTTAAAATAGCAGAAAGTCATAAGTCAGTTAATTGCCGAAACAATAAAAGAAACTGTTAAGTCAGTAATAGTATATCCTCTGGATGGGATGGGAGGGATACACGAAAAGTAATAAATATGAAGATTATGTAGCATTTTTGAAATATCACATGACGAAAAGAAAAAACCATCATGTGATATGCACTCTCACTGCAATTGTAAACAGAAAGATGTATATAAAAATATAGGAATAAAAAATGGAGGACAATTGGGCTGAAATGGTGACATTGTGGATAATTTATTATTTTTCCTCTTCCCACTTCTCAATTTTCTTTTATATTACTTTAGTAACAATAATAAATATATGAAAATATGTATTCTGTAAGCGTATAATATATACATTTTATATATGTTTTATATTATATAGAATAACTAATAAATATACTAAAATAATATTTCTTAAATAGGCACTAAATTTTAGAAAATTTTTAAATATTTTTAGAGATGGGGTCCTGCTATGTTGACCAGGCTGTCCTCGAACTCCTGACCTCAAGTAATCCTCCCACCTCAGCCTCCCAAAGTTCTGGGATTACAGGCATGAGCCACCACACCTGGTCTAAAGTAATATTTCTTTTATTTATATTACTTTAATAATGTACAAGTGTATTTTTAAAAATTAAAACAAACTGTCTGAAATGGAACTTGTCATTTCACACCTCTTGCTCTTTCTTTCTTTATTTTCTTTCTTCCCTGGACTTGGTTAAAGGCATTAGCATCCTGTTAGTGGTCCAGGCTAGAAACTTGTGTCATCATTCTGTCTTCTGTATTTCTTCACTTATCTTTCTATACAACTAAGCTTTGAATACTCTGATTTCTACTTCTCCAGTATCTCTGCAATGAGTAATTGCTAAATAATTAATAGAATACAGGTAAAATTACCTATAAAATTGCATAGAACTATACTAATATCTACTAGGTCTCATTCCCTTCTTCACTGCTTATTATCTGAGTGAGCTTGGGCAAGTTTCCCAATCATTCTGGACATTGGTTTTTCTCATATGCAGTGTGAGGATGGCATATTTGCCTTAGGTATAATTTTGTGAGAATTGAATTATCCTATCTAGGTAATGCCTCATTCGGTGCCTGGAATATAGCAGGCACGTAATACATAGTAGTTACTATATGGCACTTAAGAACCTTTGGATAAAGCCATTAATACTAGAAAGTTCTTCTAGCACTTTAGTGAGAAAAGCAAACGCACTCTTTTGTAGAGACCCCATCTCTACAAAACAAAAAAAAAACAAAACAAAAAACCAAAACCCACAAACACACATGTAAATTAAAAAGCAGGACTCTCTTCCGAAATATTTGTATCCAAATATATTCTCAGTAACTCTCCAGTACGATGGCAAACCAACTAACCTCAGGTGGCTGCAGAACAAGTTTATAATCAGAAATAAGACGCAGAAAAATATCAATGGCCTTGTGTTCCATATTACTCTCCCATCAGTAGAGGCCGTATCTTTCACTCTTTATGGTAATTGCCCAGTGATCTGCTTAAAGTGCTTAACGTACTTAGAGGGGCCTGCTGATAGCATCTTATCAGGGCTCAGAGCAGTGGCCTCTGGGAGCACCCAGGAGCTGGGGCTGGTTCTGCCAGATGTGTCGTTTAATTTCACAAAAAGTCCCTGGGTGTCACAGACACTAAACTGTGTTTGCCCGTGGCTTTGCCATTGGGTCTGACTTCACTCCCTGCCTCCCCAGATGAGGGTATGGATCTCCTTCCTCTGAGGCTTTAAGGGTTCATTGAAACAAAATAGGCCTGGGTTGCTCATCCCTTAAGCCAGCGTTCTGAGGAATTCCATTGCAGTTGCTCTGGAAGACCTTTTCACGTTAAACAAATGACTCTGCTGGCAGGAAAATTGACCCCTCTTCTTCTAGAAGTCTATTAATATGCACAGTGAGAGCTTATTGGCATCGAGGGCTCCCATATAAAATGGCCCAATTTCACTTCCAATAAAAGCTCATTCTTCTCATAGAAATGTCACCTCCATCCAGTGACATGCATTGTTCTCCAAATTCACATCAAGTTTAGGAATTTATAGATCCACACTCAGAGGGTTAATAGTGGTTCGAGATGCTTTGCAGAGTAAAGAAGACTTGGCCTGTGAGGAGTGATAGGCCCCTCCCTAGCTGGTCCTTTGATTCCTTTTCTTTCACTTATGTCCCCATATGATGCGTGATATGGTTTGGCTGTGTCCCCACACAAATCTCATCTTGAATGATAGTTCCCATAATACTACCTGTCGTGGGAGAGACTAGGTGGGAGGTAATTGAATCACGGCAGCTGTTACCCCCATGCTGCTGTTCTCATGATAGTAATTTCTCACAAGATTTGATGGTTTTATAAGGAGCTTTTTCTCCTTTTGCTCAGCATTTCTCCTTGCTGCCGCCATGTGAAGAAAGACGTATTAGTTCTCTTTCTGCCATGATTGTAAGTTTCCTGAGGCCTCCCCAGCCACGCTGAACTGTGAGTTCATTAAACCTCTCTCCTTTATAAGTTACCCAGTCCAGGTGTATCTTTATTAGCAGCATGAGAATGGACAAATACACTGCTCTACTCCCACCTCAGTGCCATCTGGGGCGTTCTGAAAGCTAGCATCCTTCCTTTGTTTAGTGCTTTCAGGAATGAAAAAGCACACTTAATTTTGAAGCTGGGAACCCATATGAGGCACTTGTAACTGAACAGTATGCCCCCCAGTTTAGCATGCATGTGCACACACACTCATATGAAAATTTAATACCCAATGCACTTGTTTACTTTCAAATTTGTCCTTTAGACTGTATATGGGTAAAGTAATTCAGAAATTTACAAAATACCTCACTTTCTATATGTCTATATTCTATTTTGGTTAGTCAATCACATCCTTTTCATATTTCACCCAAATCTTCCCAAGTGGCCCATGCTGTTTGAAATCATAATTACAGACATCACTTTGATGTTACTTTTTATTCTTAACTTGGCCATCATTCACAGCTGCTTCTGCTTCAATTGAACGAGGCACTGAAAAAAGGGAAGATATTATATAAATTAAATTTTCATTGCTCTGTAACATATCAAAAGATTGCACCATTTCTGATTTACAGTTAGGATTGGAAATTAACTTCAAAAGGCAAGAAATGGAAAAGTGGAGGCATATTCTTTCATGGCTTATTACTGAAAAGGGAGAAGTGATGTAATGATAACAAAAAGGTTTCTCTTCTTGAACAGAAGAAGGAATATCCTTTCCTCTTACACCTGTGTATTTATACCCATTTGTAAGCTTTGCCTACCACTTAACCCTGTGGACTCACAACTATGATGCAAGCAACCCTTGTATTGCAATCCTTACTGCATGACAGACCTATGGAGTGACAGAAATTAGAGCTTGAAAATATATCAAAAGATTGAAAAAAAATCCCAGCCTATTGCTCTTAGGCAAATGTGGTATTAATGAAAACATTTCTAGATGCAACACATTTCAAAGAGTTTATCTGTCCAGCTTGCACCTGGTGAGTGGTAAATGGAACCTGGAACTGGGTCATCTGCCTGCTAGTTCAGTTTTCTTCCCCTTGTTACACAAAGACCTAATTTTGCAATATTAGCGTAAGAGGGCTCATTTGGGAATACTTGATTTGGTGCTCGTAAATTCTTTTTTTTTTTTTTTTTTTTTTTTTTTTTTTTATGAGACGGAGTCTCGCTCTGTCGCCCAGGCTGGACTGCAGTGGCGCGATCTCGGCTCACTGCAAGCTCCGCCTCCCGGGTTCACGCCATTCTCCTGCCTCAGCCTCCCGAGTAGCTGGGACTACAGGCGCCCGCTACCACGCCTGGCTAATTTTTTGTATTTTTAGGAGAGACGGGGTTTCACCGTGTTAGCCAGGATGGTCTCGATCTCCTGACCTCGTGATCCGCCCGCCTCGGCCTCCCAAAGTGCTGGGATTACAGGCGTGAGCCACCGCGCCCGGCCGGTGCTCGCAAATTCTGAGACCTCCTGGATTCCTTCTTTATCTCATGTTTACTCCTAGACCTCACAGTTCCTTCTCCTGTCTTAACCTTGTCACACTGAGTCTTTGGCTTCTACCAGTGAGTGTCCTTAGCCCTCATTATCATAAGGTGCCTCCCAACTTCTCAAATCTTGCATCTGATGCTCCCATCTCCAACCACAGCCCCTTTCATGGTTATCTTTTCCACGGCTCTGTACCAATGAATCTTTTTTGCTTCTACTCAGTCTTTTTACCTAGCAGTTATCCTCTCTTAACTATGTGTATCTGCCTCAGAATCCACACCAACAGCCACTTGGATAATACTGTACCCTCATTAAAATTCTAGCATCCTTCATCTTCTTTTCCTTTGCATATACTAACTTTATCCCCTGATCACCTCGACCGCTGACTTTGCCTTCTGATGCCCTGAGAACATATATTCTCATCACTCCATGGGCCCGAGGCACTTTTACCTTCATGGGTCCCTTCCTGCATTAAAAAAATTTAAAGATATATTTTATGACTGCTTTGGTATAAAGGTAAATCTAATCTTCTACCCTAAAAATTTGTTTTTATCCTCTGATCTTAAAAGGAATTAAAGCCTTTTTCTAGACCCCTAAAATTATTGTAGGCAGTGAGCTCTGTGCCTGCTGGATATATTGCCTCTGGGGTCAGGCCACAGAAAGGTACAGATGTGATCCTATTTAGAATCAACTGTAACGGGGCTTTGAGAGCAGCCTGGTGATCGTCTATTGTTTATTCCTCACATCCTCCATTGATATCTAAAATTTCTCCATCTTCCGTGTGTGTGTGTGTGACTCACCTGCCTTCTTTCTTTTTCTTTTCTTTCTTTCTTCTCTTTTTCTTTTTCTTTTGTTTTTTTTTTTTTTTTTGAGACAGAGTCTTACTCTGTTGCCTAGGCTGGAGTGCAGTGGCATGATCTCGGCTCACCGCAACCTCCGCCCCCCAGGTTTAAGTGATTCTCCTGCCTCAGCCTCCCAAGTAGCTGGGATTACAGGTGCCTGCCACCGTGCCTGGCTAAATTTTTGTTATTTTTAGTAGAGGTGGGGTTTCACCAACTTGGCCAGGCTGGTCTTGAACTTCTGACTTTGTGATCCACCCACCTTGGCTTCCCAAAGTGCTGGGATTACAGGCATGAGCCACGGCACCTGGTCCTTTATTTTTCATTTACAAAGAAAATTAAACCCACACAACAAGGTCAAGTATCTCCCTGTCTCATCCTTAAAGCCTTTCTGTCTTTATACCCATCCTCCTACCTTGCTCTTGTTTTGCTGAGGTGGAGGTAGAGGGTGTCCTTTCATTATTATTTTTTTTCTAAGTCTGTCCTGACACTGTGTCTCTGATGCTTTGATGCTAGCTCCTTGCAATAATTCTCCTTCTTTTTTAAAAAAATTTTACTTTAAGTTCTGGGATACATGTGAAGAACGTGCAGGTTTGTTGTATACATGTGTCATGGTGGTTTGCTGCACCTATCAACCCGTCATCTAGGTTTTAAGCACCACAGGCATTATGTATTTGTCCTAATGCTCTCCCTCTTCCTGTCCCCCACCTCCTGACATGCAGCCATAAGAAAGAATGAGTTCATGTCCTTTGCAGGGACATGGATAAAGTCAGAAACCATCATTCTCAGCAAACAAACACAGGAACAGAAAACCAAACACCGCATGTTCTCACTTATAAGTGGGAGTTGAACAAAGAGAACACATGGACACAGGGAGGTGAACATCACATATTGGGGCAAGAATTCTCTTTCTTTCAATTCTCTTGTCCCTTAACTCCTCCCCATCTGCTCTCAGACCATTGTACATCTTTCCATGCCAAAAAAAGTTTGCTTTGAGCCTACTCTCTCCTCAGTCCTTCCTTCTCTCTCTATTTAATTAATTCGTTTATTTTTTTGGTTAGGCTCTCAGTTTATTACATTGGCTTCTGTGTCCTCTATGTCACTTCTTTTCTTGGAATTAAATGTATTGAATTTAAAAGTTATAATATACATGTATTGTAAAAACCAGGAAACACTGACAGTATAAGGTAAAAAACAGATTCCCTATCATTTCATAATCACATGACCTCTGGAATCCCTTTGCTTCATTCCTTACCAATGACCATTCTATTCCTAATTTATTTTCCAAGTCAATATTGACTCTTCATTTTCAAAAAATAGAGACTGTCTTCCATTTTGGGTAAGTCTATGTGTCTTAGATTCAACTGTGTACATTATTGGGAAACATGGACTAGAAATAGGCTGGAAAAACTAGGGGGACTGAGGCAGCTACAATCTCTGTCTCCCTCACAGATTTAACTGAATCTCTTATGTGATATTGTTATTCCCATCTTCAAATCCTCTGGGCTTCAAGATTCTCTTTCTTCATATTTGCTGATTAGAAAAGTCCCATCACGACTTCTCCATATCATAACCCTTGGCTTTGCCTCCTGAGAAGCT